>NC_000022.11:36285321-36436836 GCF_000001405.40 Homo sapiens
TGGTCGATCTGCAGAAGAAGGGCCAGTGACCTTGGGGAGGGCTGGGGCCCTGGCTGGAGGGCATGAGCAGGGCCAGAGGAAGGTGGCAGCAGGATCCCACCAAACCCTTGGGGTCCAGAGTCTTGGGTCTCCCAGAAAAGGGAAGATTAGAAACTTCTGAACACCCAACACAGAAGCCAGAGGGGGACCTTTCAGGTCCAGGTGCCTGGACATTTTCCCCTAAGCGCCTGGGGAGCAGCTGGCACTTGGCCTGTGCTTCTGCCGGCTGGGTCCAAGGCCAGCTCTGCCGTGGTGGCTCCAGCCAGAGCCCAGAGTGGGAGAAGTCCTGGCACCCACCTGCAGGTTGGCCTTCTTCAGCCGGTCGTTGATCAGCTCCGTGTTGCCCTGCTCCTCCTCCAGCTCCTCCTCCAGCTGGGCGATGCGGGCCTCCAGACGCCGCTTCTCCTCTAACGCCAGGGCTCTGCGGGGTGGGCGGGAGAAGTGAGGGGCCTACCCTGGGGACACACCTGGTCCCCCCCAACTCTGCCCCCTCACTCAGCTCACCCTTTGCCGCTGCTGTTGGCGATCTCGTCAGCCAGCTCATCCCGCTCCTGCTGGGCCTGGCGCTTGGCACGCTCCGCGGCTGCCAGTTCCTGCCACAAAGACCCAGAGTGTGACCTAAAGGCAGCCACAGCCCCACAAGACCATCCTTCCCAGCCCCAGGCACCCTCCCCTCAAGCCCTTCCCCAGGCCCACCTCCCCACGAAGCCCTTCCTCCAGAAACCCTCTAGCTCACAGGGCTGGTGCCCCCCTGAAGATATAGCTTAAACACCATATGTTTATAAAACTCTTACATTTAAGTGCTAGGAATCAAGCCAGGTGCCAGGGTATGGCGATAAGTAAGAAGTGTCCTGGCCTAACCAGGGAGACCACGTGGACAGAGTCACTCAGGGCGGCCCCTCCCTGTTCTGGGTAAGCCAGAGCTTGGAGTCAGCTCTGGAGGCCACAGGCAGATGGCTACACCCTGGACGCACTCGCAGCCGGCACATCACGCTGCAGGGCACCCTCCAGACCTGGGAAACACTTCAGGACGGGCTCAGGTGCGACGGGCAGGGCGGCCGAGGGGACGCTCAGACCCCTTCTCACCAGGCAGCATTCACAGCAGGAGGTGGTGGTGGCCACAAAGCCTCATCTCATGTGAGGGATGCCAGTTTCACACACACACACACTCTGATCATACGAGGGAGCCCCGCTATGAAACGGAACCCTGGAGGGAATCCTTATGTAACCTGAGAGCCATCCCCAGCCAATTCCTGGAGCCCAGTAGGACTCCAGCCCTGTCCTCAGCTGAAAGCCCCACGCTGCCACCTGCTGGCCGCAGGGCAGCGGTGCCGCTCTCCATTGCAGCCCCACCCACCTCCTGCAACTGGATCATCTCGGCCTCCATGCTCTTCAGCTTCTTCTCGTTCTCTTTGGCCTGGGCCAGGATCTCCTCACGAGAGGCGCGGGTGTCATCCAGCTCGCGCATGCAGTCCTTCATCTGGGCCTGGGGTGGGGACAGAGGCTTGGCACCCCACCCAGCTCCTTGGCCCTCCACCCCAACCCTCATGGGTCACCTCGCCAACAGGGCTCATGGCTGGTGCTCCACTCAATGCTGTATTTAACCAACTAACCGTGGTGACAGGGCAAAAAGGCAACTAAAGACAATCATCTGTGTATCCCACCCCGTAATGCACACTTTGACAGTGTTCGTCACCGTGGACGTGAGCCCAAGCTGAGCTTCATTTTCTACTTTCTGTCCCCTCCTGTGGGCCGGAAGCCAGTGCCCATGGTGCCACCCCTAATGCGCACCTGCCACTCAAAACCAGTGCCCAGCCTGCCGGTCCATCCCCACCACAGGCAGGAAACACCTTTCCTTTTGTTATTCTCCTGTTACTTCTTTTAACACTAAAGACCTTTGTCAAATAGCCTTTTTTTCCTTTTGCAGATAAATCCGAAATTGAGATTCCCCAAATCAAAGAGAGTGACTGGCTGTGTGCAGCCCGACCACACCAGTAAAAAAATGCCACCAGCAATCAGAGCATCTATGCCCACAACCTTGACCACAATGAAGTTTTAAAGTTTTTGTGGGTTTTTTTTTTACACTTAACATTTTTTTTTTGGCCGGGCGCAGTGGCTCATGCTTGTAATCCCAGCACTTTGGGAGGCCGAGGCGGGTGGATCACAAGGTCAGGAGATTGAGACCATCCTGGCTAACATGGTGAAACCCCGTCTCTACTAAAAATACAAAAATTAGCCGGGCGTGGCGGCGTGCGCCTGTAGTCCCAGCTGCTGGGGAGGCTGAGGCAGGAGAATGGCGTGAACCCGGGAGGCGGAGCTTGCAGCAAGCCGAGATCATGCCACTGCACTCCAGCCTGAGCGACAGAGCGAGACTCCGTCTCAAACAAACAAACAAAAAAAAATTTGTTAAACTAAGGTTATTCTTGTTACATGATATGGCGTATCAGAGCTGTTTTTACGTGTTAATTATTCTTTAATTATTAGTGAGGTGAAGATTTCCAAGTATGTGTCCCACACTCCGGGCTGCTTCTTGGAACCATCGCCCCAGAGCCCAGAAGGCTGAAGGGTGTCAGGACCCGGGTGATTCTGGAAGTCTGCATTAAGTGAGACCTTCTTGAACTCCACCCATGTCTAGGCTTGTACTTGTTTGCTTCTGTGTTTTATGTACCCAGTCATACACCGTTTTGCAAGTTTGCTGTTGGACTATCATGTTTCCACTCACCTCTGAGCCTCTGAGTCTCTGTCAGTGAGATGGGGCTGGAAGCACCCAGGACCTTCCCAGGAGGTGCCACCCTGCCAGGTTCCCGCCCTGGGCCGAGCCCTGGCACCTTCATATGTAGTTGGCTCAGTCGGGTGCCGCCCACCCTCACCTGGGCCCCGCCCACCCTTACCTGCAGCTTCCGCAGCTGTTTGATGGCTTCGTCCCGGTTCTTGTTGGCCGAGTCGATGTGCGCCTCCAGGTCCTTCAGGTCCATCTCCAGCTTCTTCCGGGCGGCCACTGCCATCGAGCGCTGCTTCCTCTCGTCCTCCAGCTCTGCCTCCATCTCCCGCACCTGGGGGAAGGAACATCAACAACTTGGGAAGCTGGACCCACTGGGAGACCCTGCCCTAGCTCTGAACTCAGGAGCCTCAGGCCAGTTCTGCAGGATCCATGGGGCCTCGGGAAACCAGTGGGGATTACTGACCATAAGAACTCTAAGAAAGTGAGTCACTGAACCCCGAGACAGGAGGCTAGAAAGAAGGAATATGGGAGGGGAGGCGTGGTCAAGGGGCCCTAACACAATCCAGGTGGAAGGAGAGAACAGAAGCCTGCGTGAAGCCAAGGCAGCCTTGGGCACCCATGGGGTAGCAGGAGGCCATGCACACCTGTCTGACCAGCTGCTTCTTCTTCTCCTCGCTCTGCTCGTCCCGGCCCTGCAGGTCCCGCTCGAACTGGGCCTTCATGGCCTGCAGGTTGACCTCCAACCGCAGCTTGGCATCTTCGGTGGCCTGCAGCTCGTCCTCCAGCTCTTCCAGCTGCGTCTTCATCTCCTCCACCTGCTGCTCTAGGGCCCGCTTGGACTTCTCCAGCTCGTGG
This sequence comes from Homo sapiens, assembly GCF_000001405.40. Taxonomy (NCBI): domain Eukaryota; kingdom Metazoa; phylum Chordata; class Mammalia; order Primates; family Hominidae; genus Homo; species Homo sapiens. The sequence goes on from NC_000022.11 coordinate 36,288,938, forward strand.
ACCTGAGCCCCAGAGAGCCCAAGTCAGGAGCAAAGGGACTGGCAGGTACCTGGGTCTGCGCGACCCGGAGTCTGTGCACACACCGACCCTCTGTGATGACCCCACTCGGGCCCTTCCCAAGACCTGGCTGCCAGGCCCAGGACTCACACTCTTGCCCACATCATCCTTGGAGCTCATAAGGTCCTCCATCTCCGTGCGGAACTGCTTGTTGAGCCGCTCCAGCTCCGCCTTCTGCTCCATGGCTTCCTCCAGGGCCCGGGCCAGCGACAGAGCCTTGGTCTCCTTCTCTCGGGCCTCCGCCTCAGCCCGGTCGCGCTCCTCTGCATACTTGGCAGAGATGGTCTTCTCCTCCGCCAGGAGCTGGGAAAGAGGTGGGCACCATGAGGCTCAGAGCTACGGCCCCCAGCAGGGCAGGGCAGCTGGGCCTAAGCTCCCTGGGGAAGGAGGAGCCCAGAGGCCACGGTGGAGAGGAGCAGGCCTAGGAAGCACAGGCCCAGGGCTGTGCCCAGGACAATACACACAGTCCCGTGCATCCTCATGATGGGATGACTGCCGACTGGAGCAGGCACTACTGCGAACACCATGTTGTAACGTCTGTTTAATTTTCATCACTTACTAATCGCAACCCTTTATGGCACGCTGCCCCTTCCATGAGAGCCCTCCAAACCTGTAAGAGCTTTGGTTCTCCTGAACCACAGCTGGCATTTGGTTGGCACTTTTCACGAAGTGAATGCCAAGCTGGCTGCCAAGAAGCCTGAACCCCATTTGTGGTCTTCTCTAATGACAGCTGCTGTCCCCTGGCATCTGTTCTCTGTGTGCACCCACCTGGCTCTATCCTATTTCCCCACCTTCCCTTCCTTTTGGCCCAAACCTTAATTATCCCATGGGTTGCTGACCATTTCCTAAAGGGCCAGATAGTGCATTCTTTAGAGTATGCAGGCCCTACAGTCTCTGCAGCAATGGCTCAACCCCACTACCACAGCACAAAGCAACCAGAGACAACATGAGAACCATGGAGCGTGGCTGTGTTCAGTCTATCGTTCCCTACAAAATGCAGGGGCCGGATCCGGCTACCACAGTTGGCTGCCCGATGTCTTCTACTGTTCTATCCTGCCCCCGAGTCCACATCCCCCTCAGCTGCTCTCAGATCTTTTGGAATAAGGAAGTGATATGAATGCATAAATAAATCGTTTAAAAGACAGTCAAACCGCAGGAGTTTGAGACCAGCCTGGGCGATATGGTGAGATCCCTGTCACTATGAAAAACATCTAAAAATTAGCTGGGTGTGGTGGTGGTGCACGCCTGTGGTCCCAGCCACTCAGGAAGCTGATGTGGGAGGATCACTTGAGCTGTGGTTGCACCACGGCACCCCAGCCTGGGCAACAGACAGAGACAGTCTCCAAAAAAAAAAAAAAAAAAAACCCAAACTATTTTAAAAAAACCCAAACTATAATTAAATAATTATAATAATGTAATGATATAATGATAATTAAAGTGATTTTAACTCAGTGCTCAATGGAGCCCAGGCTGGAGTGCAGTGGCGTGATCTCGGCTTGCTACAGCCTCCACCTCCCAGCCGCCTGCCTTGGCCTCCCAAAATGCCAAGATTGCAGCCTCTTCCCGGCCGCCACCCCATCTGGGAAGTGAGGAGCGTCTCTGCCTGGCCGCCCATCGTCTGGGATGTGAGGAGCCCCTCTGCCTGGCTGCCCAGTCTGGAAGGTGAGGGGTGTCTCTGCCCGGCCGCCATCCCATCTAGGAGGTGAGGAGCGCCTCTTCCCGGCCGCCATCACATCTAGGAAGTGAGGAGCGTCTCTGCCCGGCCGCCCATCGTCTGAGATGTGGGGAGCGCCTCTGCCCCGCCGCCCCGTCTGGGATGTGAGGAGTGCCTCTGCCCAGTGGCGACCCCGTCTGGGAGGTGAGGAGCATCTCTGCCCGGCCGCCCCGTCTGAGAAGTGAGGAGACCCTCTGCCTGGCAACCGCCCCGTCTGAGAGGTGAGGAGCCCCTCCGCCCTGCAGCCGCCCCGTCTGAGAGGTGAGGAGCCCCTCCGCCCGGCGGCCACCCCGTCTGGGAAGTGAGGAGCGTCTCCGCCCGGCAGCCACCCCATCCGGGAGGGAGGTGGGGGGGTCAGCCCCCCGCCAGGCCAGCCGCCCCGTCCGGGAGGTGAGGGGCGCCTCTGCCCGGCCGCCCCTACTGGTTAGTGAGGAGCCCCTCTGCCAGGCCACCACCCCGTCTGGGAGGTGTACCCAACAGCTCATTGATAGCGGGCCATGATGACAATGGCGGTTTTGTGGAATAGAAAGGGGGGAAAGGTGGGGAAAAGATTGAGAAATCGGATGGTTGCCGTGTCTGTGTAGAAAGAAGTATACATGGGAGACTTTTCATTTTGTTGTGTACAAGAAAAATTCTTCTGCCTTGGGATCTTGTTGATCTGTGACCTTACCCCCAACCCTGTGCTCTCTGAAACATGTGCTGTGTCCACTCAGGGTTAAATGGATTAAGGGCGGTGCAAGATGTGCTTTGTTAAACAGATGCTTGAAGGCAGCATGCTCTTAAGAGTCATCACCACTCCCTAATCTCAAGTACCCAGGGACACAAACACTGCGGAAGGCCAAAGGGTCCTCTGCCTAGGAAAACCGGAGACCTTTGTTCACTTGTTTATCTGCTGACCTTCCCTCCACTATTGTCCTATGACCCTGCCAAATCCCCCTCTGCGAGAAACACCCAAGAATGATCAATAAAAAAATTAAAAAAAAAAAAAAAAAAAAAAAGACAGTCAAACCAGTTCATTAGAGAAAATCTGAAAAATGTAAAAAATCAGAAAGGAAAAGTCACTCCTCAACCCATCGCATGAAGACGCCCTCTTCCGCTGGCCTTCTCCCTGGGACCCTCAACAAGCCAGAGCCTGAGGGTCCTCTAAGCACTGGCCCCGCACGGCCCCTCCCCGGCGAGACCCTGAGGGAGCCCAGGCTTTCTCTGATGGGCCCTTTGCTTTGGACTCAGTGCTTGAAGGAGAGGAAATGCAAAGGATGGGGCCAACGGCCACACACCTGGTCAAACTTCTTCTGCTTCTTCTCCAGGTTGCACGCGCTCTGGCGCTGGTGGTCCAGGTCCACCAGCAGGTCGTCCAGCTCCTGCTGCAGCCGCGTCTTGGTCTTCTCCAGCTTGTCGTAGGCGGCCACCTTCTCCTCGTGCCGCTGGCTCAGGCCCTCCAGGTCCTTCTGGAGCTTCCTCTTCACCTCCTCAGCAGTTTCCAGGCACCCCACACTGTCCTCCATCTTCTTTTTCATGTCGGCCACCTGGGCAGGAGCAAGGAGTAAGCAGATGCCCGAGATGGCACCTGCTCAGGTGGCACACCCGTCCCTGGGGCAGCTGGGAGCCTGCCTGCCACACCGTGGAAGGGGCACCAGGGATCTGCCCAGTTATGAAACCGCCTCCCCCAGTCACTTCCCTCTCCACAGGGGCGAGACAAATGGAGCTTCTGCAAAGGGGCATCTGTCTACTGTGTGAAGCCCGGGGGAGGCTGACCCCCAGGCCCGCTGTGGGGGCTCCCAGCCCACATCCACACCAAGCCTCTTGCTCTACGGAGACTGCTCCCAGAGAGCAGGGCCAGTGCCCTGTAGGGTGTCCACGGGGTCCCCATCACCCAGCCCCATCCTTGCACTTGGAGATAAACCCACAATCAGGCACGCTCGCGGGCTACTCCTACCCTGACTGTGGAATGGACTCCCAGCCCATCCCGAGGTGGTTCAGGCCTTCTGGCCTGGCACATGGAGGCCCAAGATAGGATCTAGAGCAGGGGCTCTGAAACCATATTAGGCTACGGACCCCTTCGCAGTCTAGAGAGGCCAAGGGACTCCTTCTCATGACAATGTTGTAACAGGCATGAAATAAACATGGGATCAGCAGGGCAACCAGTACAGAAAAATGCAGTTGTCACACATTCTAAAAAACCATGGCTCAGGAAGCCACGTGCTGCTAGATAGCACATCAGATAACAAACAGCGCAGGCCTGGGACCCATGAGGCCAAGGAGCTCGGCCACAACCCTGACAGGGTAACTGGCCATTTCTACAGATGATGACGGCACAGGGACTGCCACCACCATGGCTTGCTGCCTACATCCATAATGGAAGCAATGCTGAATTTCAGCTAAAGACTGGTGAAAATAAAGGTGTAAAATAGTGAAAATAGTGGTGTCCCCCATCTAAGTCCACAGATCCCTGGATTCCTTTCCTTGAGAGCACTGATGTGGGAGAGCACGGTTGGCTTCCCAGGGGGAGAGCAGCAATGGGCCGGCCCAGCGGGCAGGGCTGTCCTGCAGTGCCCAGGCCAGTGCCCGGCCAGCAGCTCCCCAGCCTGCAGAGTCCGGCCGGTCCCCCAGGCCTCCAAACCTGGGCATGGAGGGTGGCGATCTGCTTCTCCAGGTTGTGCTTGGCCTCCTCCTCCTCCTCCAGCTGCTCCCGGAAGGAATTCTTCTCGTCCTCCACCTGCTTGAGCTTGGTGCTCAGGCTCAGCTTCTGCCGGTTCTCCTCCTGCAGCAGCTCCTACTCGCGGGTTGAGAGGGGTGCGGGTGCTTAGGAGGGTGGTGTCCAAAACCCAGGAACCCCACACCCTTGAGGAGAGGGAGGAGCTGGTCCTGCTGATTTAGGGGATGGCCACGTAAAGACCTGGAGGGAGCTGGGAGGACGCAGAGACCCACCCACAGGATGAAGCAGATGAAGGAGAGGATGGGCAATCCGATGGGCTCTGAAGCTAATGTTGCGTGGACACAGAGGCCTTTCTGGAGGGGTCCACCTTCTGGGAACCTGGCGCCACCCCTACCTGAGTGTCCTGCAGCTGGGACTCCAGCGCGGAGAAGTCCTTGGTGAGCTTGCTGGACTTGCTGTCGGACTGGCTGAGAAGCCCGGTCACGTTGTCCAGCTCCACCTGCACCGGGCGGGGAGACACAAAGGACCATGGACCCACCCCCACTGCTCCTGCCCCACCTCATCTCCTTTAGGTAAAGCTGGACCTGAGTCACAAGCTGAACCATGAGGGTCTGAGGAGCCAGTTTGAGAAGAGAGAGAGACAGAGAGCACACATGCACCTGGGGACCTGGGCCACAACTGCTGCTAGGGCCCACTGCCCGCGCCAGGGTCCTGGCGGAGGCCTCACCTGCAGCTTGGTGACCTTGTCGGCCAGCTCTGTGCGCACGCGCTCTCCCTCGTTGAACTTGACCTGCAGCTCCTGCAGCTGCGCCTCCACTTTCTTGCGCTTGTGCTCCGAGTCCCCTTTGCCCTGCAGCAGCACCTTCACCTCGTTGGCCAGCTCCCCCCGCTCGTTCTCCAGAGTCTGCTTTGCCTTCTCGAGGTTTGCTTTCACCTAGCAGGGAAGAAAGCAAAGACGTGAGTGGGGGCCTCCTGACACAAGGCTGGCTGGTCTATCATCACTGGACCCTAGATCCAGACATCGCTGCTTCTGCAGCCCTGACGACGGTGTGCCTGCGTCCTGGACTCAGACGGCTCGGGCCTCATCTGTCCTGTCCTCTTCTCTCTTAGCTGGTGGGTGACACTTGGTTCCTGTCTTCACTGCTTAGGACATCTCACAGCTTCCCCATCTCTAAAATAATACCTGCCCAGCCTTCTGCCCTGGGTAGAGGCCAGGTTCTAGGGCATGGCATTGGTGTTGCAGATGTTAGCAATATTTGTAACGCAATAAGGGGAACTATAATTGTTTGCAGTTAGACTTCCAATAAAGCCTGTCTGAAGTCTGATGTTCAAAGTAACGATGTAATGTTTTCACCCTCAAATAATCACGAGACAGACATACCATAATCCTCCCTTATGAACAGGGAAACTGAGGCACGAGTCACAAAGCCCCTTAGAAGGGGAGCCTGGCCTCAGAACCAGGCAGTTGGGTAGAACCCTGCAACTGCTCTGCAGGACTGGTTTGGATTCTGTGGGCCCAGCACGGGGAACCCTGCCCTCCCCCTGCGGTCTCAGGGAGGCTCCGCACCCGCTTCGTCTGCTCCAGCTGCTCCGCCAGCTCCTCCACGGCCTGTGAGTGCTTCTGCCTCATCTCCTGGATCTGGGCCTCGTGGGTCTTGGCCTCCTCCTCCAGGGTCTTCTTCAGGATGTTCACCTCCTGCTCACGTTTTGACCTGGACAGAGAAATCCCCTCAGAGTGGAGGCCGGGGATGCTGGAGCGAGGCTGTCCCTGGGGCTCTTCCCTGACCAAAGAGAGGCCTGGCCAGGGCACAGGCACTCCAGGCAGCTTTTCTACCCACCGGCCCCTCCTAGCCATCTATCCCATAGCCCAGGCTCAAATACGCCCTGTGAGAGCTTCTGTAGCCTTTCAGCTTTAAAGCCCAGCCTTGCCTCACCCCCAACTTTGAGCCAGGTCCTTCAACAGACTTTCTACTCTGTAGAGAGAAACCGCTGAGGAACCAGCAGCTTCCATGCCTGCTGGTGCCTAAGAGGGCCACGGTGTGTGTGTGTGTGTGTGTGCAGAGGCCCGGGGTCCATGTCTCCAAGCCAAGGCCCCCCTGGCTGCCCTCCCCATCCCGAGGGACTTGGTCCCAGGGCACACCTGAGCTCCTGCTGGGCAGCTGTGGAATCCAGCGTGTCCTCCAACTCTGTTTTCAGAGCCTCTAGCTCTTCCCCAAGGTCCCGTTTCTGCTTCTCAGCTTTATTCCTGGAAGCACGCTCAGACTCCAGGTCTTCCTGGAGTTCAGAGATCTGAGATTCCAGCTCCCGGATCTTCTTGAGGGCCATGTTCTTCTGGGCAGCTTCCTCTTCCACTCTGCCAAAGCGACCAGCAACATCAGTATAAGGAGAGTTTCACCTCCAAGGAGCAGAGTTTGCAGGACAGGCCTGAGAGAGCTGCAGCAGCCAAAGCTGCCTCCTGTGGTCACAATCATGGCACTTAGGATGGCTCTCAGCAGAAACAACATCTGAGACAACCAGATTGAAGGGCAACACCCCTCTGAGAAGCAGAAAACCTCATAGAGGAATCGTTTCAATTTCCAAAGTAAGATTCACTGCTTCAAATATTTTTAAAAGTCAAATGATGTGTTAAATGGGAAGAAAAGGAAATAAAACGCTACACCACAGGACAACTGCAACTCAGTAAAAATACGAATGTGCTACGGACTTTAGATGGTTATGACAGGTCAACGTAGGTTCACCAATTAGAACAGACACAGCACTGTGGTAGGGGATGTTGACTGCAGGGGAGGCGGTGCGTGAGTGGGGCAGTGGATAGATGGAGAATCTTCTGCTGACTCTTCTGTGAATCTAAAACTACTCTAAAAAATAAAGTCTCTTTCTTTTTTTTTTAAACAGAGTCTCGCTCTGTCACCTAGGCTGGAGTGCAATGGCACGATCTTGGCTGACTGCAACCTCTGCCTCCTGGGTTCAAGTGATTCTCCTGCCTCAGCCTCCTGAGTAGGTGAGATTACAGTCGTGTGCCACCACACTGGCGAATTTTTTATATTTTTGGTAGGGATGGGGGTTTCACCATGTTGGCCAGGCTGGTCTCGAACTCCTGACCTCAAGTGATCCACCCGGCTTGGCCTCCCAAAGTGCTGGGATCACAGACGTGAGCCAACGTGCCTGGTCAAGTCTTTTTTTTTTTTTTTTTTTTTTTTAAGTGTGCCTATAGCAAGAAATTAGGAAAGGACTATTGTAGGTGGGTGATAGAGCTGTGGATGACTTTTTTTCAAATTATAAACAAACAAAAGACAAATGAGGCCCCTCACCATGCCCTGAGTGCACAAGAACTGTTTTGCTATGAAATAAATGGCTCTTTTAAGACAACAGTGGAAAGAATGCTCACAGCTCACTAGTGCCGAGAACTAGGGCCAGCAGCAAGCAGGAAGGGCTGGCCCAGGCCACCTGGCCTCAGGCGGGCAGGCGGGGTCCTCACCTGGCCAGGGCGGCCTGGAGCTCCTCCTCTTTCTTGGCCAGCTGCATCTTGAGCTCCGCGATCTGGGCCTGGAGCTCGGCGATCTGGTCGCTGAGGTCTGTGGAGTCTCCCTCCAGCTTCCGGCGGGTCTTCTCCAGCTCCTGTCGCTGCTTCTCCTCCCTGCGGAGGCGCTCTGCAATGCAGGGGGAGCCCACATAGCCCTCAGTGCCATGGGTTCTGTCTCCGTGTCAATTACTTATACAAAATACTGAGCACTCGTTATGAAACGTGTGTCAGGCTTAAAGCATCACAAACACACAGACACTCGCACCCAACTCCTGGATGCAGGAAGAGGACATCACTGCAAACTGCTAGCCCCTGGCATGTCTCTCTCCAACTCACCCCTTGTCCTTCCCTGCCAGGAATTAAGTACTCTCCTAAAGCTGGTGTTTGTAATTCCCTTGGTTCCCTTGAAGGCTGTACCATGTCTGTATCTCTAAAAAACATGTTCAATTGTGTGTGAATCTGAACTTATATAATGGAACTGCCTTGTGTGAATTCCACAGTTGGAATCGCACGGTCAGGGCTCTATGTCTAGCTTTATAACTCTGTGATGTCACTTGGGAAAGCTACTTTCTATACCTCATCTGAATAATAAGCAAAAGGAGACAGCCTACTTCATTAGGATGCTGTGAGGCGCCAATGAGTTACTATCTTAAAAAGCACCTAGAACAGTGCCTGCCTCGTGATGGTTATTCCCTGCCGTGCCTTTGCCACCCCATCACGTGATCTTGAGATGTAGCCCGTGAAGTTTCGCTGGAATAGATGTGTAAGGACATTTGTCTAGGATTCCATTATGAGAATACACCACAACTTACTTATGTACCCGTCCTGCAGCTGGCGGGCATGCGGCTGTGTTCATCGCACGCTCTGATCAACGCTGCTGCAAGCATCCTGCTCACTCTCAGTGCACACGGCTGAGTGACGGATGGAACGGCCAGGTCACCGGCATGCTAAGTTTCAACCTCACTAGGACTGCCGGATCGTTCTCTAACGCCGTCTACCAGTTTGCAGTCCCAGCAGCAGCATATGTGTGCTCTGACAGCTCCGTGTCTATGTTAGCCCTTATTAGTGTCAACCTTTCATGTCTGTCCATCTGGTGGGTGCAAGGCAACCCCTAGACCTCCTAGATGACCAAGTCTTCCGGGCTCCTCCCAGGTGAGGGAGGGTGTCTGTGAGGGAAGAGATCTCTCTGTGTCCGGACCTCTCTTCTGCTGGACCTGACTCACCTCATCCCCTGCAGATGTGAGGGGGCCGGACAAGACTGTGAAACTAAGCTGGGGATAATCCTCCCGGTGGTCAGGTTTTGGTCTCCCTCCCCTGGGTATGAGCTCAGAGTTCCCAGAGTAGTCGGGGTTCCCCTGTTCCCCCAGCTGTCCACTCCTCTCAAGGGGCAGGGCTGGGGGTCCTCAGACAGCCACGGACCTGTGCTTCTACCCCAGCACCCCCTCCCTGCCACAGATCCCGAGGGCACACAGAGACAAGGCAGGATTTGTCACCCTGCCCCAAGTCAAGCAATGAACTTCCGCAGTATTCGTCTAGGACTTTACGGTACATATGTGTTCACATGTATTTAATGAAATTCTCACAGACACCCTAGCACTGTGTCCCCTTTTTAGGTAAAACTAAAGCTCATGGAGCTTAAGTCATAGCTGCAAGATGAGCCAGCTAGTCAGTGACAGAGCTAGTGAGTCCTGTGGGTCAAACCCGGAGCCTCCTAGGAAGTCTCAGAAGCTTCCAAAACCCACGGCACACAACAGAGCAATGCCAAAGCTCTCTAAACACGCTTCATGCAGTGGGGGCATCTAGCCACAGAGCAACAGGGGCCTGGAGGCTCAGGTTCCCGCAGGCACCAGACACGGCTCCCCTCGACCTGGTGACCTCAGGTCTAAAGGGCAGCAGCCAGTGCTGTAGTGTGACCCAGGCTCACCCGTGAGCTGAGAAGGCCTCGGTGTTCCGGTCAGACAGGCCGGCCCCTGACCGCCAGCCCTTGCCCGCCAGCCCCTGCCCATCACCTCCTGCTCGTCACCCCCTCACCTTCCAAGTCAGTGATCATTGCCTCATGCTTGTTCTTGAGCTTGGCGAGGCTCTTAGATTTCTCCTCCTCTTCTGTGAGGTTGGTGGTGAACTCAGCTATTCTGTCTTCCAGCAGTTTCTTTTCCTGGGGAGAGGGGAGTAGGCTGGCATTTAGTGTTGGTTGAGCACAGAACACTTGCTAGCCTCAAAGCATGACTCGCCCGGAAATCTGGGGCTGAATGGAGAGGGCTTTAGACGCTTGATCAAGTTCATTAGGATTTTCCTAGATCAAAGGATAATTTTGAAAGGTCACGAGCTCCCCTGAAACAGCGAGGTACGCTTCCTTAGAACCAAAAAATGTGGGTGCCCAAGCCCTTCCCCTTCCCCTGTGGGCTTGGGTGAGAAAGGATTCCAGGTGACAGCTAGTGTCAGCAGGGACAGATGGCTCCACTCCTTCAAGAGGCTGCCACACGGCGCTCACCTGCGCCACCAGGCCACCTTCTCCGTGCCCCTCTCTCACCTGCCAGGTGGGCCACGGCCCCTCCCCCTCTTCAGCCCCGCGGTGCCCCGGGCTGCTCTCCTTGCTTTCTGTTCTGTGTGGCCCCTGCAACACCCCTGCCCAGCGGCCACAGCTCGGCACAAGCACCTGAGTCCCCTCATCCCAGTCCCGGGTGGGCGTCCTGCCACCTCAGCCTCCCCAGCCTTTGGGGCTCCCATGTTCTGAGGAGGCCCGAAAGGTGGGGAGGCTGCCTTCTCCTGCCTTCTCCTCTAACTGGTTCCCCGGCTGCTATCTGCTCCCTGGGCAGACACCGACAGGGACCCAACTCATTCTCAAGAGGAATAGCTGCCGCCCAGGGACAGTGGAGGAAGAGTACCCCGTATCTCAACACAGAGCCACCAAGGTGTCCCCAACCCCACAGTGACCAACACTTGCAATGCTGCACAGATGGCCACCTTTACACAGGCTCGGGTCTCACGGCTGGCAAAGAAGAGCTTTCCAGAGGGGAAAGGACAAACCCTTCCCCAGGGCCCCTTTGCTTATGAGGAAATCCCTCAACTAAGGCCCATGGGACCTCCAGGGAGCACTTGCAGTTAAGCAGAAGCCCTCATGCTGCAGGCAGAAGAGACAGGAAGCAGCAGCAGCGGGGAGCCAGGCCCTGCAAGGGTGACCACACTCTCCCATCCACGGCGCCCCTGGAGCAGCGGCAGGCGACAGCCACGGGCCTCACCTTGGCCAGCTTGCAGTTCTGGTCCTCCAGGATGATCTGCTCCTCCTCCAGCTTTTTCAGCTTCGCCTCGGTGGTCACCTTCTCCAGCTGCAGCTTCTGCCGGGCGCTCTCCTCCTCCTCCAGCTGCTCCTCAAGCTCCTGCCGGGGGCCAGAGACACGGTAAGGACAGCAGGCCCAGAGGCATGGCCAAGGTGAAGGCAGCAAGGTCCGAAGGCCAGATCCAAACGCCAAGGAGAAAATAGCAAGGTCTGTGAGCCCAGGGCCATGGCTGAGGTGGGGACGGCAAGGTCCGCCAGCCCAGGGCCACAGCCGAGGCAGGGCCCAAGCCCCATTTGTAGGATTCCAGATTTCAAACTGGGACACAGGGCCAGAACATCGGTGCAATGTTCTGAAGGGTTTCCTGCAGCAAGCTCCCACCCATGAAACAGGCAGGACGCAGAGGTGCTGGCCCTGTGCCCCTTCGGCTAGCCAGGGCCAGGGCTAATGGCAGGGAAATCAAATTGGCCTTGATGCTGGCCCAGGCAGTGCTCATGGAGATCTCAGATGCACATGTCACAAACTACCAGCCCAAAGGGAACACCTCTCACTGAGAGCCCCAAGCAGATTGCGTGAGGAGCAGCCTCCTTGGACCCTAATTCCATGTTCTCCCAGCTCCTGGTTCCTGCTCCTCCGCCCCGCCCTGCCCCTCCGGCGCCACCCCTCCCCGGGTGCAGCGGGCAGGAACCTGGATGTTCTGCTGCATCTTCTTCTTCTCCGCCTGCAGGTGCTGGCAGCGCTCCTCCTCCTCCTCCACCCTGGCCTCTAGGTCATGGCAGATCTCTTCTAATTCCTGCTTCTTGGCGGTCAGGCGGGCCCGGAGCTCCTCAGCCTCGGCACACAGCTCGGTTTCTGCCTGGAGCTGCTCCTGCAGCTGCAATTTCTCTGCCATGAGCTGCAAACAACAAGTGGAAAACACAAGCTCCTCGCAACACCCTCAAGCCACTCCATCCTCAAGGACGGACGCCATGGCTCGGGATCCCAGAGGGAAAGGAACATGCAGACAAAAGTAGCTTTCATCTGGAGAGCTCTGAAGCTTCCAGGTACCTTCCAGACATCGTGTCCTTGATTTTTCACTACCCCATGAGCTCCAGAGCAAGGTCCCAGGAAATGGGCTCAAGTCATGTGGTAGAGCTGAGGTTTGAACCCAACACTTGTGAACGTTCCACTCTATTAAGTGGCCTCCCTACATCACTTAACACCCAATGGGGTCTGCAGAGAGACTGGTCACTGTTTACAGTAATAGGAAACTCAGTTGTAGAAAACTCCTATAGTAATAGAAACTTCCAGCATGCCGTGCCTACCGATGGCCAGCAGGTGGCAGCACCAGGCAGGTCGTGCGACCTGGACTGAGCCTGCACTGACACCCACCTGAGACTGCAGCGTCTCCATCTCCGTGAGCCTGTTCTCCGCAGCCAGCTGCTTCTCTCTGACCTTCACCAGCTCCTCCTCCTTGGCCATCATCTCCTCCTCCTGCCGGCTCACCTGCAGCAGCGGCTTGACCTGGGAGAGGAGATAGAGGTAGAGACATGCTCGGCTGGAAGATGCCCGCCTCTGCCAACAGGTGTGAGGCCTCTCCCTCACCTCTGGAAACATGAAAGTGAGGGGCAAGAAGACACGCTGTGGTGGGGGCTGCAAGCAGGCACATCCTTCCTGGCGCTCTGTACCACGGGCTTCTGACCCGCTAACTACATTCCAGGGAAACTATCCCTGCGTGTGCGTGAAGATGTTCACCTCGGCATTGTTTATCACAGCAAGAAAATGAGGAAGGACCCATCTCTGAAAAAGTACCCAGATAATGATGTGTTCCCTAGGGAACAGCACACTACCTCTAAAAAAACGATGCTTATGAAGGAATCATAAATGGAACGTACGAACTACAACTGTTTATATGAGTCAAACTCAGCTATGGAAGAATGTATACTGTTTACATAGCTGAGGTTTTATAGGCAGTGAGAAAAAGAGCGAGAAATTAAACACTAAAATAGCTGCTGCTGTTGGTTTAGGCTAAGGGTTTATGTGTGAATTTTTATTTAATTCTTTAGGCTTTTTGTGAGTTGGTTTTTCGCCATTACCATAAATTATGTATTATACACAAAAGCAGCCCGGACAAGTTTAAAAATAAAGAGATTTTTTTTTTAAAGGCCAGGAAGGTCAGCCTGGGCAAGATAGTGAGACCTTGTCTCTACTAAAAATCAAAAAGGGCCGGGCACAGTGGCTCATGCCTGTAATTCCAGCACTTTGGGAGGCTGAGGTAGGAGGATTGCTGGAGCCCAAGAGTTTGTGACCAACCTGGGCGACATGGTGAGACCACACCTCTACAAAAAATACAAACAATTAGCCAGGTATGTATGGTGGTGTGCACCCGTAGTCCCAGCTACTCAGGAGGCCCTTCTAGCACGCACCTTGGTGAAGAGCCGCCACCACTGCCAGTTCCGCAGCTTCAGGTAGGCAGCGCAGTTCCGCTGGAGGACCTTCATGGCGGTAAGCTGCTGCTGCCGCTTGGCAAATGCTCTGTGTGGTGAGGAACATGGTCAGCGCGGAGCAGTGGACAGCAGACCCGACCTAACAGTCCTGGTCTTGTCCTCAAGCTTTTCTGGGGGTCTACCCTTGCCTGGGGCACCTCAAGAAAGAAATTCAGGGAAGGGGTCTGGCCTTGGGGTTGAGATAAGTTTCTCCCACTTACAGGCTGTGTGACTCCATGAGGCACTAATCTTACAGTCGGTGAAGGACCTAGGTCACCAGACTACCCCTCCACTGAGGTGCCCATGGGGGTGAAGGCACGTGTGAAGTAACCACAGATCCTACTCAGTGTGGGGACTGAGCGTGACCCTTGGTGATTAAGCTGACTGGCCCTGGGTGACTCTGGACTTCAGCTTCCCACCCTTCGTGCTGTTCCCTATCTGAGCTTTTGTTTGGTGGGAGAACGTCAGAAGCTGATGTACTGTGAAGGTGGGCTGCAGGTGTCAGCTGGAGGGCTTTTGGATAAACAAGCCTCCATCTGTGCAAATGCTCAAGCTTCGTCTCCCAGAGCTCGGCGCTCCTGCTAGGACCCCATCCCCGAGCACAAGGGGACGAGTGTGCAGTGCCCACAGCCGCTGTCCTGCAGCAGGGGAGCCGTCATTCCCCAGGGAGTCAAAGATGAGTCTGGACTCGAGGATGGCCTGCTCCCCTGGAATCACAGGGTTCTTTAGGGACAGGCAGGCTCTGGGTGCTGTCCCCACAAGGGTCACACGGTAAGGAGTCCTGGTAAGCAGGATCCTTCAGGCAGGCAAATCCAAGCAGAGTCAGCCTCTTCCCACCCATCACTCTAAACCCCAATCAGAAATGCCAGATTCAGCCAGGAGCAGTGGCTCATGCCTGTAATCCCAGCACTTTGGGAGGCTGAGGTGGGCGGATCACTTGAGGTCAGGAGTTCGAGACCAGCCTGGGCAACAATGACGAAACCCCGTCTCTACTAAAAATACAAAAATTAGCTGGGCGTGGTGGCGTGCACCTGTAACCTCAGCTACTAAGTGAGGCTGAGGCAGGAGAATCACTTGAACGTGGGAGGTGGAGGTTGCAGTGAGCCGAGAACGCACCACAGCACTCCAGCCTGGGCGACAGAGTGAGACTCCGTCTCAAAAAAAAAAAAAAAAAAAGAAAAAAAAAAGAACTGCCCGATTCTACTCCTCAAAGGTAGAAATCCAGGAACAGGGGTAGGAAGAGCCACCTGGGCCTCCCTGACAGGCATGTGACTGGCTGCAGCGGGGTGGCCTGCTAAGTGCCCTTTGGCAACAGAAGGGCGTGGCAAGGCCTGGCATGCGGGGCAGGAGTATCTCCCGGGACTCACTTCCTGGCCAGGTAGCCCCTGCAGCAGGCCTGGAACCCTATGATGACGTCGGTGATCTTCAGGTCTCGCTCCTCCTCCAGGTGGGCCAGCACACCGGCACGGAAGAAGACTTTGCTCTGGCCAATGCGGTACAGATTGCTGTCGAGCTCCAGGGCTTTTATCTAGGTGGGAGGAGCAGGCCGTTTACCTGGCCAGCAACTGGCCACAGCTCCATGAAAGGGTGGCCCAGGCACAGCTGGAGGTGTGCCCTTCACCCTTCTTCTCACTGGCTGACGAGCATCTGGAGAGCAGAAAGCCATCTCCTCTCCCTCCTTCTTCCTGTTCCCTATCTCCCCGTCACCGAACGCAGGCTGTGCACACAGTAGGTGTTGAATTTTTCCTTCTCTTTTCCTCCCACCAACTCCCTACTCTGCAGCCAAAGCTTTCTGATTCTTTAGAAAGAACGTGAAGTAAAACAAGGCCAAAGGTAGCAGCTGCTAACCTGGACACGCCAGAAACAACAGGATGCTGGGAAGGGGAAAAAAGGAGCAGGGTGGGATTCAGCCCTGGCTTGGCACTGAGTCACCGCAGGGCTTTCAATCAACCGGAACTCAGAGCATGCGCACAGCCCGTCCAGCACTGCGCTAGGGCTGGGAGTGGGGAGGGAGGGAGGAGAAGCCCAGGTCACGGAGCACCAGGCCTGCTGCCCTGGCTGTGAGCTGCCCTGCTCACCACACTGGATGTGGAGTCAGGCCCGTGAGCAAGAAAGCAGGAGAATGTCCCCCAAACCAAAGAGGCCATCATCTTACATCAGAGCCCGGCCATGGCTACAGTTCTTGTCTCCTCCACACAACCCTGGTGCCAAACACCATCCCTGGCTATCTGAGGCCTAGGGGCTACTGCAAAGGGCGCCCGGCAGAGTCAGACGCGGAGCATCAGAAGGGACACAGCCTGGGCATCCACCGACCACTGATATAGCAAGGTGGGCCCTGGCCACGTGGGCACTCCCCAGACAAGGGGCTGCCCATCCAGAGAGGCAGGGACAGCAGCTCAACTCACCATGAGCACGCACGCCTGCTTCCCGTCCATGAAACCCTTGGGAATGGAGTTTGGAGTCAGGATCTCATATCTGAGGAAGGAAAGAGAAGCCTGGTCATTTTACCCATTGCCTCGATTCCACATGCCTGGAATATAGGCGAGAGATTAACATCATTTCTACAATGCAACAGACACAGAATTCTTTACACAAACTCTCCTAAGGAAAGAAGACACAGGCAAATCCCACCCCACTCTTTTCTTCGGCTGAATGAGACAAGGAAGCCTTGGTGTTTTCCGGAAAGTGAATGGAAACTCGTGTAGGACCGTTTCAATCACTCAAGGGCGTGCTTCAGGTTGGACTAAGTGCTAATTGCCTGAGATCCTCATCTGTCACCCAGGGACAGCCATGTTCACACAGCTTCCCTGGGACGCTGCAGGGAGCTGCTAATAAACAGAGATGGCCCAAGAAATAAAGGGCTGCGTCCCGACAGCAACTGACACTCAGCACAGTCATTAGAGAAACAGGAAGGTGTCGCCGTCTTCGCACACAGCAACGCACGGCCGTGTTTCATTTCCACAAAGTTCCTGTAATATCCTAGGTCTCTGGCTGATTCTTTTACATTTCTTTTCATAGCTCCTCTAACTGTAGCAAATAGCACCAGGGCCGGCAGTTACTAGGAGCAAAAGTCAACAGGATGATGATGACCTGCATTTCGGTATTAAAATGGGGAAGTCTCCTTTCCTGCAAAGGGTGGAAAAGAGAAGGAGGTGGGGAAGAGCTGGCCAGACTCAGTTCTACATGGATGGAGGACGTCGCTCCCTCACGACAGGATCCTGCCAGGGAGCAGCAGCCCACCTCTGGGACTCACTGCACGCACAGCAGGGCCCAGGAGAAGCGGGCTCCGGGCCCTGGCTCACCTCTGCCGAAACTCCTGGAAGACCACCCTGTTGGGGAAGCCCTGGCGGCAGATACGGATGCCCTCGAGAACACCGTTGCAGCGCAGCTGGTCCAGCACGAGATGCGGGTCCAGCTTGCCGGCCTGGAGAAGAAAACACATGCATGCGGTCTCACTTCCGTGCCTAGAACAGTCGGAGAATAGTCAGGGAACCCCTATGAACCTGACAGGGCAAGAGCCTAAGGGAGGGGGTCGCTACAGCCCACAGGTTTGGACAATGAAGTCAAAGGATCCAGGTCTGGGAGGGGCCAATGCCACCAAGAGGAAGTGCAGGCTGTGAATGTAGCGTATCTCCTAAGCGAGCCAAGGCCCACCCTGCAGAGAAACGACTGAAGGCTCTGTGCATGCTGGGGGGCTGGAGGGGTGCTTTTGCTGGGGAGACAGACAAGGGCTGAGCACCCCACACCACAGTGCCCTGCCCGGGCCACCCCACCAGGCAGCCGCACCTTCTTCTCGTGGTTGGGGATGATGCAGCGGACAAAGTTGGGGTTCGTGTTCCTCAGCGTAGCCATCAGCTTGGCCAGCTGCTCCTTGTAAAGCTGCCCCACAGTGCGGAACATGCCCTTCCGCGTCTTGAAGGCCCCGGGCAGTGCGGTCTCCGACATGCCGGCCACCTGGTCCAGGCCGATGATGCGGTCCACTGTGGAGACCACAGAGAACACGTGAGTGCCCACACAGTTGCAGCTGGGTGGTGGGGGAGCACGTAGGAGAGAGAGACAGGCACACGTCGGACAGGAAAAGAGGAGACAGAATGAAACAACAGGACCCTTTCCAATTGGAGCCTACACTGGGTGCTAAGGTCATCCCCAAACACAGCGGGAAGCCAAGGGGGATGCAAAGGCACTGGGCTTGTCTCTTGGGGAGCCATGCATCTGCCATGGCCACCTCACCTTCCTGTCACCTATCTTCAGCCACTCTCGAAGCTCTTATTTCCAAAAAGACTCAATGAAGCTAGTCATGTATTTTGGAATAGTGAGAATTCTACTAGCCTGGCTCTAACGAGGGGTGTGAAAACCTGGCTTACGGAATCCTGCTGTCCTATGGTCACAGTTAGAAAAAAAAAAAATCAGTATCTTGAATTCTCACTGACCCTGTCATAAGAGCACTCGGCTGGGAGTCAGGAGGCAGAGCTTGGGGCCACCCTGTCACTGTCTGCAGAACCTTGCAGGGTCCCCTCTATATCTACGCAGACATCTCAGGAAGGGAGAGCTCCAAAGAACTGCTCTTGATTATAAATACTCCAAAGTTTAGGGATCTCTTCACGTACTTGTATTTCATTTTGTCTCCTGGTGCACGGGTCTTTCTCATGTAAACCGACCCTCAAGGGAAGCAGCCCCTAGCACTGGAACTCACACCCAGCAGCAATTAAACCAATTGCATCCTCCAAGGTAAAAAACAAACAAACAAGCCAAACCAAAGTGGCCAGCGATTTGAGATCAGTTTAAGCAAGAGCTAATGTTAAATGTGAAGCCTTCTATTACTGGATATAAAAGTGAAGAATACTGACGAAGCCCGTTTCGTATTCCTTCACGGCCAGATTACTATTATTTACTTGAAGACAGCAAAAAGGATGCTTGCTTAAGACAGAAGCCAGGAGTGTGGATGGAGCCTACAAACCAGTCAATTAAAATGGGAGGTGGCTGGGCATGGTGGCTCGCGCCTGTAATCCCAGCACTTTGGGAGGCTGAGGCGGGTGGATCACCTGAAGTCAGGAGTTCGAGACCAGCCAGGCTAACATGGTGAAACCCCATCTCTACTAAAAATACAAAAGTTAGCTGGGCGTGGTGGCGGGTGCCTGTAATCCTAGCTACTTGGGAGGCTGAGGCAGGAGAATCACTTGAACCCAGGAGGCGGAGGTTGCAGTGAGCCGAGATTGCACCATGGCACTCCAGCCTGGGTGACAAGAACAAAACTCTGTCTCAAAAAAAAAAAAAAAGGGAGTCATCTTTGACCTTATGTACCCACCACAGGGTCAATATTCCTGGCTACCACAGGTTTCCTGGGCGTGGTAACTTGCAAAAGCCACTCAGGTTGTCCAGAGAAAGGTTAATGTGGCCTCATCATAACTGGCCCTTTTAGCTGAGTGTGTCCTGGCCCCACCCCCATGGAGCAGACCTTGCCGAGCAACTGTTGAATGAACACACAGATGCCACTTCAGCTTTCAGGTGCACAGACACAGCAGTGTGCATACCTGAACCTCATGCTAAGACACTCGCAGCCATTCAAGCAGTTTAAGACGCTGTCTTTAGGCATGAAGCTCTAAGGAGGATACAAATTTTTAAACAATTTTTGCTGTTTTAAGATTTTTTTTTTTTTTTGAGGCAGGGTCTCACCCTGTCACCCAGGCTGGAGTACAGTGGTGCAATCACAGCTCACTGCAGCCTTGACCTGTGCTCAAGTGATCCTCCCGCCTCAGCCTCCTGAGCAGCTGGGACTACAGGCATGCACCATCACACCCAGCTGATTTTTTTTTTTTTAATTTTTTTGTAGAGATGAGGGTCTCCCTATGTTGCCCAGAATGGTCTCAAACTCCTGGCCTCAAGCAATCCTCCCGCCTCAGCCTCCCAGATTGCTGGGATTACAGTGTTTTAAGATTTGAATGTGACGTCTCCAAATTCCAGACACAGCCCCTCATTTGCCCAGTTTGCTACTACAGGCCGGCGATAGGCACAGTGCGGGGAACCTGCCCAGAAGCCCAGGGGCAGATCAGGGAACGGGGGTGTAAGCAGGCAGGAAAAGCCAAGGCAAGGGGGGGCGCGAGAAAACCTAGGCAGAAGCATTTCTTGCACAGCTTTGGACGCACCACACACACAAGAGACACCACTCGGGCGGCCAGTCACCTGGTTCTAGGTGGAGAATAGGAAAGCGATGATAGAAATAGGCTCTCTGAGTGCTCTGCATCTCTGCAACAGAGAGGTTAAAGCAAAACCCAGGCAAAGGAAAAGGAGAAACCAACAGAAAGAATTAAAAAGAACCACTCAAAGCAACCAGCCTACCAAGGAGTAGAGGCGGGAATGCAACATGGCGCGGGGCTGGGAGCCTGGGCTTCGAGGCTCGGGGCTGCCCTTGACTTTCCCACACACGGAAAGCGCTCCGCCCAGGAGGACCCGGCCACGGTGTGTGCGCAAGGGCAGTGGCCTCCTGTTTCGGTCCGAGGAGCCCTCTCTCATGGGAGCTACAGAGGGCAGAGACCACCTGGCCTATGTCAGGGGGCACATGTGTACCCCTTGTTTGGCAGCTCGGCCCACTGTGGAGGTGGGAAGATGACCAGCCGCAGCCAAGAGGAGGCAGGGGGCGAAGGGCAAAGGGCGTACCATCCTTCCACAGCTCCGAGACAAACTTGTCAGAGGACTGGTGGAGCAGTGTGGCGATGTTGTCATTCAGGGGATCCATGTTCTTCATCAGCCACTCGTCAGCTTTGTAATCCACCTGGCGGGGTCAGAGAGGCAGGAGTCACAAGCTGCGCTGGGGACATGTGTGCTCACAGGGTCTCCGGAGCACAGGCTAACCCCATGCATGGAAAAGTCAGAAAACGTGAAGACCCTTTGATCCAGCATTTCCACCCCTAAGAAGGAAGTGGTGAGGATAAGGGGAGCGAGGCATCAAGACGTTCTCTGCGGCGTCTCGTGCAGAGCCAAAGCCTCAAAGCAAGGCATGGCCAACAACGGGAGCCTGGCTCTAGACATGGCATGGTGGCCACACAGTACCGTGCTGGGTTTCAGCTTTTTTAAAATTTTTAGGTAATATGAACAAAGAAAAACAATCCTGGAAGGACAACAAAATGTTACTATTTCTTTTTAGTCATAAGACAAGTAATTTTTGTTTTTTCTTTGTCTTTTTAGAATGTTCACATTTTCTCTGAGTATGTGTCAGTTTCATCTTTTTGGAAATATATTCTGTTTTTAAATATATTTTTTTAATTGGGCAGCCTCCTAAACTAGAGGGTTCAGAGAGACTCCCAGAAATAGATTCCTTTTTTCTCATTTTAAATAGAGATAGGGGCTGGGTGCGGTGGCTCATGCCTGTAATCCCAGCACTTTGGGAGGCCAAGGCGGGTGGATCACCTGAGGTCAGGAGTTCGAGACCAGCCTGGCCAACATGGCAAAACCCCATCTCTATTAAAAATACAAAAATTAGCCGGGCGTGGTGGCACGTGCCTGTAATCCCAGCTACAGGGCTGTAATCTCAGCCCCTAGGGGGGCTGAGGCAGGAGGATCGCTTGAACCTGGGAGACGGAGGTTGCAGTGAGCCGAGATCGTGCCACTGTACTCTAGCCTGGGCAACAGAACAAGACTCCGTCTCAAAAAAAAAAAAAAAAGATAGAGATAGGGTCTCACTATGTTGCCCAAGCTGGTCTCAAACGTCTGGGCTCAAACTGTCTTCTTGCCTTGGCCTCCCCAAGTGTTGGGATTACAGGCATGAGCCCCTGTGCTCTGCTAAAATATATACTTAACAGAACAAGTAATACAGCATGACATCTTCATTGCAAAAGGTCCCAGAACAATACCCAGAGAGCATCAGGGACCTAGGCCTCCCTCTTCCCAACACAAACTGCAGCCCAGAGGTGCTCCCCTCAGTATGCAAGCGAATGCACGCTGCTGCATCCCAGGGGTGCTCCCCTCAGCATGCAGGCGAATGCATGTTGCTGTTTATCATGAGGTAGGTGATGCCAGTTTCCTTTCCCCAGGCTCAGACCCTCCCACCCAGGCCAACATCCTTGTCCTTTTAGCGGCCACAGCACAGCCCACGGAAAGACGCACCACAGTTGATGCCATCGTGCAGGCCCCTTGGTGGGCTTTAGGGTATTCCTAATTATTCAGCATTACAAATAATCCCACAGCAAAAGCCTTCCTGGAAGCTTCTGCACTGATGAGCGTGTGCGTTTCCCAAAGGTGAGAGTGGAGAAAGGAGGCTCGGGAAACATTCCTTGGTTAATGGTGTAAATCGCTTTTTTGGCTTTATTATTTTTTTCATGGGTAGTTTAAGACAGTTGCTTCCGCAGCCCCAGGAACCAGCCAAGCTAAATAGAAGAGGCCGGCACAGGTGTGCTAGAACCGGGCCTGGACTCCTTGTGGCTTGGGAACAGACCTGTGAAAGCTCCCACATCTCCTCGCCAGTCATCACCAACTAGTCACCACCAACAAGGAGATGGCGCAGCCCCTGCCTAATCACAGCAATTAACTGTTAGGGTCTTTGTGCAGGAAGCACACGATATGCTGAGAAAAACCAGCTTTTGTCTAAGCATGCACCTCTATGGACTAAGTTGGGTCTAAGCCCCAGTCACATGCAGACTGGGAAGATGTCTGCTAGGTAAGTGTTGAGGGCAGGTCCACCACTGACTGACTGTGGCAGACTTGGCAACAGCAGCTGTCACCCACAGCAGTGGCAATTCCCCGCACCTCCCCCCCCGAAACTAGGACATGTTTGGCGATGTCTGGAGACATTTTGGGTTGTCACAACTAAGGACGGTGCTCCTAACTCTAGTGGGTAGCAGCCAGGGATGCTGGTAAACATCCTAGCATGCACAGGAGGGTCCCACAACAAAGAATGACCCAGCCCGCAATACCAGGAATGCCGAGGTTGAGGAGCCCTGCCCCGGAGCACTGATTCATGCCACATGTTGGGCCTCAAGAGCTTGTTTAATCCACATAATCCTGTATGGTGGGTGGTCATTCTCATTTTCCAGATGAGGAAACCAAGGATCAGAGAGGTTAAGTAACTGACCCGAAGTCAAACAGCTTATGAGTGGCAGAGCTCTATTCAAACTCTGAGCACATGCCTTTAGCCAAAGCTCTGCACCTGGCAGACAGGCCCAACGATAATGCATGATGACAACCAGCCTGGGCACCGCGGTGGAGTGCCGCAGGCTTCTAACAGCATGGAGCAGGTGAAGGGGCTCTGTAAGCTGTGTAAATGATGATGCTGTCACCGGCCACATTACTGGGTGAGTCATTGTGCAAGAACCGTACTCAGGTCACACCCCTGCGTCCCCAGCAGCTGCCCGGCTCCTGGTCCTAGAGAGCCTCGACTCCACCTCTCCTGTGAAGATCTGGCCAGCACCTCCCCGTGAGCGCTCCTCACCTTGCCGGCATAGTGGATAATGCAGAAATCAGCTTTGTCCTTCAGCTGCTTGGGCTTCTGGAACTTGGGGTGGGTGCCCTGCTCCTGCATCACCTTCTCCACGAAGCTCTTGTCGGTGGCTTTGGGGAACCAGCACTCCTCGTCCAGCAGGGCCAGAATGCCCGGGGGGCCTGCCTGGAGGAAGCGCAGCATCAGCACAGGTGAGTGCACCCTGGGAGGGGCACCCCACCCTTCAAGAAGCCAAAGCCCGGACATCAGAATCCCCTGAATCCCACAGACGGTGGGCGACACACTCCCCAGGAGAAGCAAAGCACTGTTGAAGATTTCTAGCTTCTAAAGAAACCTCTGGGGCCCAGGCTGCGGCTGACACCTTTACCCAAGGATCCATCGCGGTGGTTCTCCAGCATTAGTGAAACCCTCAGTGGGTCTGATGAAAAGTGCACATCCGCTGACCCGCGGGGCCAGAGTCTGACTTCACAGTGCACTGGGGTCTGCCCAGGAGGCTGCCCTCAACAAGTACCCTGTGATCCTGCCACGGGAGATGCCAACCCACATGCTTTGCGTCTGCATGTCTATGATGAGATGGGATATGTAGGAGGAGCCCCTTGAGGAAGATAGTCCCAGGGACCCAGCAGCCTTCTGCACACTGAGTTTACAAGACAAGAAAGCAGGTTTGGACACTGCAGAGAGGCTGACAAAACTTGAAGCCCAGTGGGTTCCTATTAGTTGGAAAATTCAACTGATTAAAGAAAAAAGCTCATTACAAAAGTAAATTTTTGGCCAGGCGCGGTGGCTCACGCCTGTAATCCCAGCACTTTGGGAGGCCGAGGCGGGCGGATCACCTAAGGTCAGGAGCTCGAGACCAGCCTGGCCAACGTGGTGAAACTCCGTCTCTACTAATAATACAAAAATAAGCCTGTAATCCCAGCCACTCAGGAGGCTGAGGCAGGAGAATCGCTTCAAACAGGGAGGCAAAGGTTGCAGTGAGCCGAGAGCACGCCATTGCACTCCAGCCTGGGCGACAAGAACAAAAATCTGTCTCAAAAAAAAAAAGGAAATTTTTTTCAAACTGAAAAAACTTTGTCCTAGGCCTTCTGATCAATTAACCATAATCAAAAGAAAACCCAGAGACAGGCCAGGCGCGGTGGCTCACACCTGTAATCCCAGTACTTTGGGAGGCCGAGGAGGGCAAATCATGAGGTCAGGAGATTGAGACCACGGTGAAACTCCGCCTCCACTAAAAATACAAAAAAATTAGCTGGGCGTGGTGGCGGGCGCCTGTAGTCCCAGCTACTCAGGAGGCTGAGGCAGGAGAATGGCATGAACCCGGAAGGCGGAGCTTGCAGTGAGCCAAGATCAGGCCACTGCACTCCAGCCTGGGCGACAGAGCGAGACTCCGTCTCAAAAAAAAAAAAAAAAAAAAAAAGAAGAAAACCCAGACACAGGAACAGCTCAGGCTTCATTACAGATCATACCCTCAACAAGCCTAAAACACAAACAGGCGACCCAACCTCTACCTGGCAAGAGGTTTAAGTATGAACTCATTGGAAAGGGTTCCTCTTTTCCATCTTCACACAGCTAATGCTGGCGATAAAAGCACTGCTGCTTGCTGGTTTTATGGGGGGGATGAGCTGAGCTTTGGTACGTGTACACCTGGGCAGAGCACTCAATGCCCAGGGTCTGCACTGTTCCATGCTACAGTGAAAGCAGCCCGCGATAGGGCCTTACTACATCCATGCATGGCTGTTTCTTTAAGACAAAGAAATGCTTATCGAGCCCAGCCTTCAGGAGGATGCTGGGTGGTCTTCTGGGACTGAAAACAGGATGCTAGGGCCCCCGCCACATATGCACCTGGTCCGGCAGCTGGGAAAAGCCCAGCCCACAGCTGCAGCCCAGAGCATCTCCTCTAATGGAGGCACCCACCCAGGCCTCCCAGGCACTGGATCTCAGCCTTGGGGCTTCATCCTCCGGGTGGCACCAAAAGGAAGGGGAGTTAAGACACCTCCACAACCAACACAGAGCTGAGGTGAGGAGCGGGTGCCCCGGAAGGGAAAAGCCAGAGGCAGGTGTGAGGTCAAAGCAAGCCTGGTACTCACTGGCTTCTCAATGAGGTCGATGCAGGGCTGCAGGTCGAGGCCAAAGTCGATGAAGTTCCACTCGATGCCCTCGCGCTGGTACTCCTCCTGCTCCAGGATGAACATGGTGTGGTTGAAGAGCTGCTGCAGCTTCTCATTGGTGTAATTGATGCACAGCTGCTCAAACGAGTTCAGCTGCAAGGAGAGAAAACAATGTCAGAGAGACGCCAACCCTGCACTAAAGAGGCCCAGACACCCCTTGAGAAGGAGGGTGGGGCAGGGATACAGGAAGGGCCTCCTTGGGCACCTCCATGCCGCTGCCTTTAGAGCCCGGATGCTCCTGGCCTTCCCTTTATCCACCCAGCAGTGGGCAACATTTACTCTTTGGAGCCAGTGACCGCGGGCAGTCTGGTAAAGCCTTTTCAGAATAGTGCTTTAAATTGCATCCAATAGATTACAAAGAAAGTAGTTATTTTGAAATATAATCATCAAAATATTGTGATCGAGTAATACATTGTTTTTTTTTTTTATTTTTTATTTTTTGAGACAGAGTCTCATTCTGTCACCCAGGCTGGAGTACAATGGCGCAATCTCAGCTCACTGCAGCCTCCGCTTCCTGGGCTCAAGTGATCCTCCCAGCTTAGCCTCCCTAGTAGCTGGGACCCCAGGCACACACTATGGTACATGGCTAATATTGGTATTTTTTGTAGAAATGGGGTTTCACCATGCTGCTCAGGCTGGTCTTGAACCCCTGAGCTCAAGCAATTCTTCTGCCTCAACCTCTCGAAGTGCTGGGACTACAGGTGTGAGCCACTGCACCAGGCCCTTCTATTTTTTTATTGAAGAGATGGGGCCTTGCTTTGTTGCCCAGGCTGGTCTCAAACTCCTGACTTCAAATGATTCTCTTGCCTCAGCCTTCCAAAGTGCTGGGATTACAGGAGTGAGCCACCGCACCCGGCCTCTGTGCTTCCTTATTAACAAGAACTAGCCATGGGCTTAATAACTTCCAAAATTTTGAGGTAGCGATGCATAAATGACACTACCAGATCTCTGCAACAACCGGAATGTAACACGAAAACATCTGATTTCTATTGGTGACAGATCACAAGTACTGCTAATACAACTGTGGTTTGTATAGTTTGTTCAGTTCGCAACTGGAAAAAATACATGATTTCAATGAGAGGTTAGTAAAAAATAAAGATGTAATTTTCTCATCCCAGCTCATGGCTCCTCTCAAACCTCCCGTGGACTCCAGGTTAAGAACCTCTAATCTACTGTAAGTATCGGTTTCCCTACTAGACCTCAAAGTTGTCATGGGCAAGGGAGATGTCTTATCCCGATGCTCAGGGAATATTTGCTGGAAGAATAAACAGGAAGCACCTGCCCAGGAAGCCTCCAAGAATGTGACCTAAAAGGTCCCATCCTCCCAGCCTGGACAACATGGCAAAACCCCATCCGTACAAAAAATACAAAAATTAGCCAGGTGTCATGCCACATGCCTGTAGTACCAGCTACTCGGGAAGCTGAGGTGGGAGAATGGCTTATGCCCGGGAGGTCGAAGCTGCAGTGAGCCATGTTCACACCACTGCACTCCAGCCTGGGTGACAGAGCAAGACCCTGCCTCAAAAAAAAAATAACAAACAAACAAAAGGTCTCATTTTCTCCAGCATTTCTGGTTGAAAATGAGCCCTTCTGTTTAGCTTAAAACACATCTAACTGAGCCTGGGCCACACCTGAGGCCCCATCTCTACAAAAAATTTAAAAATTAGCTGGGAGTGGTGGTGCGTGCCTATAGTTCCAGCTACTAAGGGGGCTGAGGTGCGAGGATCAGTTAAGCCCAGGAGGCAAAGGCTGCAGTGAGCTATGACTGCACCTCTGTACTCCAGCCTGAGTGACAAAGCGAGACCCTGACTTTTTTTTTTTTTTTTTTTGAGACAGAGTTTCACACTTGTTGCCCAGGCTGGAGTGCAATGGCGTGATCTCGGCTCACTGCAACCTCTGCCTCCCGGGTTCAAGCAATTCTCCTGCCTCAGCCTCCTGAGTAGCTGGGATTACAGGCATGCGCCACCACGCCCGGCTAATGTATTTTTAGTAGAGACGGGGTTTCTCCATGTTGGTCAGGCTGGTCTCAAACTCCTGACCTCAAGCAATCTGCCGGCCTTGGCCTCCCAAAGTGCTGGGATTACAGGCATGAGCTACCGTGCCCAGCCGAGACCCTATCTTTTAAAAAAGAAAAAAAAAAAAACAACCCCACACCCAACCAAAGTCTTCATGCAAAGGAGATGGCCAACTCAGATCGATGCAGGACCATGAGAAGCAGGGTTCTTAACCAAGGATAAGGCAACCAACAGGCCAAGGAGGCAGCAGGGTGGGTAATGAAGGGCAAGGCTCACATCAAAGATCTCGAAGCCGGCAATGTCCAGGATCCCGATGAAGGAGGCGCCCTGCCTCTTGGTCTTGTCCAGAGCCTTGTTGATGCGCAGCACCAGCCAGCGGAACATCCGCTCATAGGTCGCCTTGGCCAAGGCCTCGATGGCAAAGTCAGCCTGCGGGGCACACCCGGGGAGCGTGGTGTCAGATACAAAGGATCTGAAAACCCTCATACCCTATGCCCCAGTAATTTCACTTTTAGAGTCCTCCCCCTAGAGGAACAGCCCTAAGTATGTGGGGGAAAAAAAAAAATCTTCGTACACAAATATGTTCACTGTGGTGTTATTTAAAATGATGAAAAGTAGAAACAACCTAATATCTAACAATATGGGGACAATAAACTTAGATCTTTTGAAATAAAATGAGGACACACTAAAGGATTTACAGAAAAAGTGATGCTTCAAAATAAGGCAGTGGTCTACGGCCGTACCACCCTAAATGCACCCGATCTCATCAAAATAAGGCAGCAGTCTACGGCCATACCACCCTAAACGCGCCCAATCTCATCAAAATAAGGCAGCAGTCTACGGCCATACCACCCTAAACGCGCCCGATCTCATCAAAATAAGGCAGTGGGCAGAGGGGCAGGGGGAGATAAGACAAACGATGAGCCAAGACTCGCCGTGAGTTAGTAACTGCTGAAGCCGCCTACGTGATGGGCACGTGGGGCTCTTTACACTCTCCCCTCTTCTTTGTTTTGCACATTTGCAAAGCTCTGTAATTAAAAGCCAGAAGGAGAACTAAGTTTAATTCTTTTTTTTTTTTAAGTCTTGTAGGAAAGAGCTGCCCAATGATATTCATCACTGGGAATTGTTTTCCTTCTCTCGATTTTTCTGTATTAAGAGTCATGTAGTATTTTTGTAATAGAAAATGGAGGTTTCTCCTTAATGGTCAGGGAAACGAACAGGTGGCAGGAATAATACGCGATGTCTTTTGAAAACAACAGTCTTGTCTTTCATGCAATGCTTCTGCACAGAAACAGCCGTGAGCTGTCAGTGTACAGTGAATGGGAGAAAGACTAACAAAATGAGCTTCCAAGTATTTTTGAGAGATGGGTTTGGCACCCTAAAAACCCCCATGGCCAGCACCATAAAAGAAACTAGAAACCCCGGAGAGAGGCAGAAAGCGGTCCGCACTGGGCGGGACCTCCACTCCAGGGGCAGGCAGGCACATCAGTCTGGCAGGAAGGAGCAAGCGCTGCTGCTCGTCTCTCAGCACACGTGGCAAGCCCAAGGCAGCAGGTGGTAGAGAAACAGCCGCTTGGCACAGGCTCGAGGATGGCGGGAGCCGCCACCCTGGCACCAGAAGGAGTTCAGCTACAGTGGCATCAAGTTCCTGCTTTTATACCAGACAGGACATGCCTATATCCTTGATGACCAATCAGCCAAAATACCATCTCAATGTAAAGAGGCACAATGCAGTCTCAGGATGGCACTTCCTGGGCGTGAAGCCTTGAGTGTGCCATGAAGCTTCTCCAGTGCTCTAGATGGCGTTATGCCACCTCTCTCCGGGTTGCTGTGAGGACTGCATCATGGAATCATGTGAAAGTGCCTGACACGGACACCCCAGGATGGCCCACAACAGCCTCAACTGTGCTGCTGCAGGGACATTCACCCAGGAGGCAGCCAGCTGCCCTGGCCCCAGAGGACATACCTGCTCTTTAGTCTGCGCCTTCTGGACGTAATCCCGTCCCACCTTGATGCGCGGGGTGAGGATTCCTCTGGTGAAATCGGTCACATTGATACCCAAGAGATGGGACACCTTTTGGGCAGCTAAGATTTTTCAGAGAATAAGAGAGGGACAAAAAGTCCTAATTAGACCCAAGAGAGAAAGTTCTAATTAGACCCAAGAGAATAAGTCCCTCTGCTTGACTTGGGAGCAGAGAGGAAGAAAGCCACGGGGTGAATGAGCAATCATTACCAGGACAACCGCATCTGGGCCCTTCTTTAGCAGGGCCACAGACACCTAGCACCCCCCAGACTCAGCAGCCACATACAGGTCAGTGGGCAGGGCAGCTGTACCTCCCCTGAGCCCCACGGGGCAGAGAGGAAGGCGTCCTGGCTGGAGGCCACAGCGGCAGCAGTGGTTCCTCTGTCCACTCTCAGCCGCACTCCTCAGAGTGTAAAAGCAGGTCCCTACCCACCAATGGGGCTGAGAGGAGCAGGCCAACCTGGTGCTGGGGCACGGAACAGCACAGGATCCCACAGGAATGTCTTTTTTTTTTTTTGAGACGGCGTCTTGCTCTTGTTGCCCAGGCTGGAGTGCAGTGGCGCGATTTCGGCTCACTGCAACCCCTACCTCCTGGCTTCAAGCAATTCTCCTGCCTCAACCTCCCAAGTAGCTGGGATTACAGGCGCACGCCACCATGCCCGGCTAATTTTTGTATTTTTAATAGAGATGGGGTTTCACAATGTTGGCCAGGCTGGTCTCGAACTCCTGACCTCGTGATCTGCCCGCCTCAGCCTCCCAAACTGCTGGGATTACAGATGTGAGCCACCACGCCCGGTCAGGAGTGTCTTTTACAATCCACACACCCATGCGTTACATCTTTAGAGAGACCCTAAGGAGGGCACATTAAGACTGAATAACTTGCATGGGGTCATTTGCAGCAACCCTAACAAAGGGGCTGAATCGGGTGTGGCAAGGACATAATTTCAAGATCTCGACATAGTCACAGGCAAGGCTCCCATTAAGGAGGAGCTACGGCAGAAATCATTGGTGTCCTGACGAATGGTTTGGTCTCAGGAATGAATAAGGGAAGCCCTGGTCCACATGATCACAAGTTTAAGTTATTCTGAAATGCTTACTTGGTGAGAAAAAAAAGCAGGGTCATGTTTACGTGTGTTTTACATCTGTATAGAAAATACCGACAGATACTAACATTAAAAAGAATAGTGTCCGGAATTTCCGCAAGACCTTCCCTCCTGAGCAAATCCATGGCCAAGCACCTGCCCCATTATTTCCAGCGAGAGGCCCCGGGTGTTACCTGTGTTGTCGGGCATGGACGCCTGGTCAGTGTTCCGCTCCTTCTTGAAGACGATGTTGCCGAGCTGAAGAACCCCTGAGATGACCCGCAGCAGGCCTTTGGGTGCAATCAGAGGCAGCTCAGAAGCAGACATGGGTCATGGTGATTCCCGGGGGTGGGGGCCACTCATCTAGGGATCCTCAAGCCAGACAAGCCAAGCAGGGACACCCCCCAACTCCCTGGGGCCACAGGGGCGCCAGGTCTGCGTCTAACGGTGTGCGGTGGGCCCAGCCACCCTAGAGGGCTCACCCCCTCCTGGCCGACATGGCCTGTCCGCACTGCCATTCATGCTGGGCTTCACCAGCACAAAGCACCCATCTATCCCCAGCTTCTTCCACACTCCCCGAGACAGGACGTGAATATTCTACTTTCAGCAAATGGCAAGGGCTGTGCAGTGGACCCGAGTCCTGGGCAGTTAAGAACATGTCCTTTGCACCCTTTCTGAATGCCTGTGGTACCACCAGGAACAAATAACCTTGAACCTCAAATCTGAGGAATCATTTTCCCATACACTGAAGGCCTTCCCCTTCCCCTGGCCTCTAGCAGGCTCCCCAGGCCCATCGGCTACCCTGATGCCCCGAGGCCGTGGGTACCAGCCTTCCTCTGCCCCACACTCGACCATAGGAGGGCCAGCCCTGTACCCATTTGCTCCTCTTCTGGGATGCCCATAATCCTCATGGCCTCCATGGTCTCCTGGAACATGTCCTTGTCCTGCTGCCCGGGGATGGTGACGTGTCCATTGGACAGGAAGCGGTATTTGTTGTACGGCTCCAACAGGAGATCGGCTGTAAGGGGTGGAGGGCAAGGGCGCCTCAGCGAGGTGCTGAAAGTGGAGGCTCCATCAGCGCTGTGACCTCAAAGGTTGGAGAGACTGGGACAGACCCTGAGCCCTGACGCACCCTGGAAACCGCAGAGTAGCCAGTGACGTTCAGCTTTCCTCAGTGTCTGAGACTCTGACACTCCCGTCTCCTGGCCCAGGAGAGCGCCAGGTCCTGTGATTTGCAGCTACATGTGCAACCCACCCTAGCTTTTCTCTGGCATGGTCAGAAACAGAAGACCAAGTCCTTAGGATGGCGCAGAGAACAGGAGTCACTCTCACTTCTCCCCGTTAAACCCAAGGCCAAAAGTTTTCATTTCCCAAATGATGTCTACGGTCCAATTCTGGCAAGAGGCCCAGAGCCCGGCAGCCCCGGTGTCAGGCTGCAGGCCAACTACTCACTCTTCAGGTGCTCTCCAGCCCCAGACAGGAGATAATAGAAGATGTGGAAGGTCCGTTCTTCCTTGGCTTGGCGGATAGCACGAGATTTCTCCAAAAGATCTTTGCAAATATTAAGGAGCAACACAAGCTGGGGAGAAGGCAAGCCCTCCACTTTCCTCATTTTTTTTTTTTTGGAGACAGAGTCTCGCTCTGTCACCCAGGTTGGAGTGCAGTGGCATGATCTCGGCTCACTGCAGCCTCCACCTCCTGGATTCAAGCGATTCTCCTGCCTCAGCCTCCCAAGTAGCTGGGATTACAGGCGCCCACCACCACACCCAGCTAATTTTTAGTAGAGACAGAGTTTTGCCATGTTGGCCAGGCTGGTCTTGAACTCCTGACCTCAGGTGATCCACCCACCTTAGCTTCCCAAAGTGTTGGGATTACAGGCGTGAGCCACTGTGCCTGGCCAGCCTTCCATTGTCCTCTTATTCTCGTCCAAAGGAACTGAACTTCACCAGGAAGGAAGAATGGCACAAAATGGCAAAACACAGCAAAAGCAAACTACCTGGGTTCTCACCTTCAAGGGGCATGGCATGTCCAAGAGGAGCTCACACCTTCGAGAGCCTTGTCTCATTCTTACAGGTAATGGGAACAAGAACATTCCCACAAGCAAAGGCTAAACGGTGGCACGCAGGAGAGTGGCATCCCCCAAACGCCTACCTCTGGGAGCCACACTAGACGGCTTTCAACAGCTCCATGCCATTCAAAGCACAGGTTATCCTGCCTGTAAATAAGGAAAGCCCTAAGCTCTGTGTTGGGTTTGCACTAGCCGATCCTGACAGTCCCCTAGCTCCACAGAGAAGGTGTCAGGATGGGCCCATAAAGGGGAAAGTGCTGGAATCAGGAGGCAGCTTCTTCTCTACAGAGGTCATGCCTCCCCTCCGGATCCAGGACTCTTATCCCAACGAACCACAAGGATACAAGTCTCAATGTTGGCTCCAACAATGTAGCCATTGACATCAA
This sequence comes from Homo sapiens, assembly GCF_000001405.40. NCBI lineage: Eukaryota > Metazoa > Chordata > Mammalia > Primates > Hominidae > Homo > Homo sapiens. Next base: position 36,321,800 of record NC_000022.11, read on the forward strand.
AGTTGATGCGAATGAATTTGCCCTAAGTAAGAAAGGATAGCAAGAGATCAGAGGTGCCCCTGACATGGGGAGCTAGAGAGCACGGGGGAGACCACAGCCCCCCGCCCCACCTCCGGTGGGCACAGCTTGGAGGGAGAAAACCCAGAGACGGGACCCATGTACCAGGCCAGGGGCCCCCTACGCCCACACCACACGGGACCTCGGGACTCAGGCGCCACACTGCCTAAGGCCATGAGCCTGAGACAAGCTGATCCCACACCCAGGTTCCTCCGCAGAGGGGGAAAGAGACCAGTTATGTGGAAGTGTTCCTCTCTGCCTGACCCGGGAACTAACTGGCTACTGGTGACAGCTGAGCACTCTGGGGCACAGCAGGCAGCGCCCTCACTGGCCTTTCCACCTCTCATGAGGGAGGCTGAAGAAGCTACTCGTGGCCTTCGTCCTTAAGAGGGGCAGGGCAGGTCCACACCAACTGGCATTCGGTCTGGCCTAGTCCACACGACAGGCCAGATAGCACCGAGTCTGAACCGTCCTCGGTTTTGAGGGGAGGGCACCCAGGAAAAGGCAGCATGAGCCAAAGCTCCGGGCAAGGCCCTCTGTCCCCAGAGCCGGGGCGCCGCCGCGCTACTCACGAAGCGGGAGGAGTTGTCATTCTTCACGGTCTTGGCGTTCCCGAAGGCCTCCAGGATGGGGTTGGCCTGCAGCAGCTGCCGCTCCAGCTCGCCCTGCAAGGAACCCAGGGACGCAGTGAAGGCCGGGCAGCGACCTGGGCTGCCGAGCCTGCCCTGCCTGGAAGGGGGACGATGGCAGAGCCGTGTCAGCATGTCCAACGTGCCAGGAACAGAGGTTTCCGGGTGGGCTCCAGTGTGCGACTCCAACCAAGGCCAGGCCCCGGTATCATCCAAGTGCGGCCTTCCCGCCAGGCTTTGGAAACCTTGGTCAGTTTGAACTTACTTCCATGGCCCTGGAAACGGCAGGCAGGAAGCTCCCTCAGCTCTAGGAACCTGGCCCTGGACGACCCATGTGAAAGCAGCACTTAAACTAGGGAGCCGGCGGCACAGACACCCTGGGACAGTGTCTCCACCCTGTATACACCAGCTTCCCTCTACCTCCTTGCCTCTAATCCTCACATTTTTATTCCTTTTCATAGGAAAAGCAAATGAGGGGATCGGATCTGGAAAATATACACGCTCATCTCATCTGTGTCCTGATAAATGCTTCACTTTCTGTACCAGCCCCTCCACTGCCGCGTCCAAAACCACCATGACAGGCAGTGAGCACGGGATCCATGAGGCCCACTTTGGGCTCCAGGCTGTTTACTGAGAATGTCAATAAATCCTACTGTGAACTCCAGGGTGCTTTGTGGTAGACAAAATGCACCCTTGTGCCTTCTTATCCCTGGATCCCCACCATACTCACGGGGCAGGACAGAGCAGCCCCATTTCACAGAAGAGGAAGCTGAGGCCAAGGGAGGGGTGCTCAAGGTCATCCAGCTATCAATCCGCAGAGCGGGGTGGCGGAATTCCAGTCCCCTCCCTAACCTGTCAGCCACTGCCCTGTCTTCGCACCTGTGCAACAGGCCCATGCCACCAGGGACTAACTAACGCTGGCTAAGGAAACTAGGGAGTTGGTTCCCCTTAATGCCTGAGTGCCCTCTGGGGGAAAGAACGTCACACAAGGGCCAGGCAAGCCTTTGTATTTATTAAAGACTGGAGGCAAGCCAGGGTTTTCCGGGAACAGCAGCCGCCTGTGAGTGATGACAAGGAGAACTAGGAGGAGTAGGAGCTCCCAGGAGAGCCATGGACCCTGGCCTTACAAGCACACCTGCCACAGACGAGACCCATCTGCAGGGCACCGGGGACACTCTGGAGTCTAGCCGAGCCAGATTGGAAGCCCACCTGAGACCACAAGGGACACAGCAGAGACTCTTCCTCTGGCAGCCCTCCTAGGCCAGGACCCCCCAACCCAGGGCTAGGAAGCCTTCCGCTTGTGAACCATCCAGACAAGTGAGGGCATTGCTCTAGTGCCCGCCCCTGAAGGAGGGTCAGCAGGGCCAGGTCAGAGGGCAGGGGTCAAGCCCACAGAGCAGGCTCTACGTGTGCGCTGGGCACCAGTGGTAACTGGACACCGGGCTTCCACCCACAGGCCTCGGGCGGGCCTGGGAAGTCGGCTGAGGCAGCCCACGGAGCCAGACTTGGATGAGAATGGCTCCCCCACCCACTACGCCGTTCCTCTCAGAGCACAGGCCAGGCTGCCAGGCTGGCTGAACCGCTCCCATTCCCGCAGACAGAAGGGAGCGCGGCCCCTCCATTGCCTGTGCTCGCCCTGGCTGGGAGGCGAACTGAGGCCTCTGTTTGGGACCACACGCTGTTGCCGTGGAAAGTGGGGCCGCGGGGCCAAGTCGGGAGCAGCCACTTCAGATTCCAGAGCTGTGTTCCCTGCTGACAACAGTGATGACTAACCTATGGCTTTTTCTCTACTGACATCTAATTGGGCACAGAAGAGATTTTAATTTTTCAATGAAATCTGCGTAACATGAAATGATGCGGTACTGTATGAGGTTTGGGGTTACCCATCGGTTTCTGAAGGGCTTCACTGGGTGGTGTTTCTGCCAGTGGGCCCCAGCTCGTACACAAATAACAGAGCAGGGAGAGTCAAAGGTCACCGTTCAGGATCCGGGCATCTGCCTGGAAAGCCCCTTGGACCAAGCTCTGCTTTGCCAACCTGCGGCCCAGGCCAAACCTGGCCTCCCCGCAGCAAGGTGAGGTCTGGAACAACCCCTCTGCTGGTGTTGGGAGGGTCAACTCGGTCACTGCAAGTGAGAGAGCGCTGGCTCCCAAACCAATTCAAGGGTGTTCTGTGCTCCGGCAGCCTGTGGAAAATCACAGCACAGCTTCAGGCAAGGAAATCAACCAAACCGGCCAATGGTCTTTCACGCTGACAGCCTGAGCTATGACTGGAAGCCTGGGGCAACCTACTCCCTCACTCTAGTGGGCTCAGGGCAGGGACGGGGTGCCTACCAAAGTCTGCGTTTTGACAACGTGGCTCCCACTGTCACCCCCAACCCCAGCATGCTGTCTTTGCTGAGTGCTGCCTTCCCCTCTACAACAGGAACCCCAGATGTAAGGCATATGATCTATTTCACTGCTCTCCGTGTCCTGTCTCCTGTCTTTCAGGACAGGAACTCCAATGTCACCCTCCCAAGAACCAGTCACATACTAGGCAGTCAATAAATACTTGGGAAATGGATTTTACTGCAAATTCAGAGATGGAAAAGCACAGCTAGAGAACTCCTAACCTCACAGCTCTGTTTTTAAAATAGGCCTCCTAAAAAGAATGGAAAATCGGGGGTAGGGAGGGAGAGAGGGATGGAGAGAGAGAGAGACAGAGAGGGAGACAGAAGAAAAGAAACTGTATTAGTTTCTAAATATAACTCCTGACGCCCCATGGAAAAAGATTCCAAACGTCTTGAGAAGCTTGGCACATGAAAAGTTACTTTTGGTTCGGTTCCAGAAGACTGTACTCATTAGGCCATTCTGCAGGCCACACCCCAGACCTGCATGCAGACTCACACCCCTCCTTACTTACGAAGGCCGCACACGGCACGCCAGTAAGGTGGAGCCACCGGGAGCGGCCAAGCTCCCCTGATGGCTTCAAGGAACACCACTGGCACTTAGCTTTCACAGGGGAGGTTAAGAGTGTGTGCTTGAGAGAGAGCATCCCACAGCCATGCTTAAGTCTGATCACCCCAACCTCTGAAAAACTCCAACGTGAGAACTCCCCGGCACTGCTTCTGACTGGCACGGCGGTGGCAGGTGAGGGCAGCCGGCCATCTGCATCTGGTCTGGACCACAGAGCGTGGAGGGCTCCGTGAGAGCGGAGTCCCCATCCACCGTGCCGGGGTCAGGTTCCGCATGGGACATGACAGCTATGGTGCGCTGTGGGGAAATCTGGGCATGACTGGAGTTTCTGAGAACAACTAGGTGTGAGGCCCGTCCCCATTCTGCAGGAGCTGTCATTTCAGAGTGCACAGGAGGTCACTGTGTGCCACACCCAGCCCCTCCTCCCAAGACAGTCAGTGAGCTGAGCCTAAAAGAAGAGTTCTAGCTGCAGAAAGTGACAAGTGTGGGGTGAAAAGCTGCTTAGAACAAAATACAGAATTCAAGGGCACACGATGGGCAGAACACGCATTCCCAGTGCAGAACGTGCAGTAAACGTGCAGCTCACCTAGCGAGGACACTGCTGGGTTCAACCATAATCCATCAAAAGGGAGAGGAAAAAAATGGAGGTGAGATGACTTTCCAATTGCCCTTTCTGTCTTCGCTGGGGTGGTGGGGGTGGGTGGCTGTCCACCCAGAGGCATTTCAACAGCAGGGAAAAGAAATGGAATCAAATACAGGTCTGCCTGAGACCTTTCAAGCCTCCATCAACTTGAGGACCAAGTCTTGGAATCTGCCTTCCAGCCTCAGAAGGGGAGGACACACAGCAACGAGCTGCAAAAGCCAAGAGGGCTGCCATGCAAACTCCAGGACCTCGCCAGTTTCCATAGCAACTCAGAAGGCTAGGAGGCCAAGGATGGAATGGGCTTGCTACCGCTGGACCACTCCCAGGACAGGCCACGCCACTGCCTCAATGGAAATGGGCCCAGCCTCTGCTTCATTCCCCAAAGCATCCTCTTGTAAAGCTGAAGCCGGGACCACTAAGTGCTCTTCCTCCATCATCCCACCAAGGCCAAGCAGGCGGCCACAGGGACAAGGGCTGCAGCACTCACCTGGTCCTTCTTGCTCTTGTGCGAGGACGCCACGTACGCCAGATACTGGATGACCTTCTTGGTGTTCTCCGTCTTGCCAGCTCCAGATTCACCACTACCAAGAGAGGCAAGGAAGTCCCGGGCTTAGGCATGGCCAAGTCCTTGACCTCTGTCCCTTCCCACTGCACGCTCCACTGCCTCGCATTCTGTTGGGTGCCCGTGAAGGACCCAACGTGTGGCAGAAAACGGGACTGCCACATAAACGCTCTGGAATCCTCAGGCAGTTCACTTCCCATGGCTCTCCAGGGGCCAGACAGAAGTAAACTGAAATCCACTGCCTGTCCTGGTCACTTGTCAGGGCAAGTGACTTCACATCCAAGTGTTTTAAAAATCAGTTTTAGGCAGCTGTGGACTTAGGGGTCAAAGGCACTTGTACATGTTCCTTTGAAACGTCACTTAAAGGAATGTTCTGTGCCATTAACTCTCTTGGCAATGGGGTTTATGGATCTCCTTGTTAAGTTCAGAGGCTGAGAGGCCCCAGTGTCTACTTCAATTCAGGTAAAGAAAAGCCACCATCCAGAGCAAGAAGGAATGCCTTCCACCCAGAAGTTACGGAGGAGCTGGTTCCCAGCTGGATTGTGGAGAGATCTTGCTTTTCCTTTCTGCCATAAGCTCCACCCTCCTTCCCACTGGCTCCTTGAGGAAGGATGATTGAAATTGAGCTCATCCATGCAGTGGGACCACTGAGTAGCAAACACACAAACTGAAGTCCTATCCCTTGGAGAAGTGGAGGAGGGGCCTTGAATTGGGAATGGGGGACTCTGCAAGCCCCAGTTGTGGTTTCAGTAGGAGACCTCAAGAATGAGAACAGACTGGGGTGAAACGAACCACTACCCAGACGGAGAAATACTTACGTGCACAAGATGGATTGATCTTCTCGGTCTGAAACAAAGAAGACATCAGATTAACTCCCGCCAGATGCAAAAGCCTCCCCACCTTGCTCCCAAAGAGCTGCCCGTTTCCCAGACAGGGAGCACAGTGTCACAGATGCTGTCTTTGTGGGGATCTCGCAGTCTACCCTCACACCTGGCTAGGAGGAGCATCTTCGGGGGAGAGTGCCATTGGGCAGCTGCTCCTGCCGCCCAGGAGCTCAGATTGTCCACCCACGCTGTTCAGCCCCCACCAGAAAACCAGAAATAGTTCTGTGTCTCCCACCTTAGAGGAACTAGTGTGTGGAAAACTCTCCAGGAGTCGACTTCCCTGGGAGCTGAGTGGGACCTGCCCTGTGTGTTTATAACGGGGTGGGGGGCTGAAGCTGTTAGAAAGAAGCCTGCTGCAGGTGCTCTAAATACCATCCCCACTGAAGGAAGGAGCACCATTTAAGAGGCTGGGGAAGGAGGGGTGACGAGGCCTGGCTTTGCAACGGGACAGCCCTGGGATAAGATGCTGCCTCACAGCCTGAGACCCGGGACAGGTGCGCAGGCTTCTCTGAGCCCCAGCTCCCTCCTCCGCAGCGTGGGATAACAGTACTTGTGTCCACAACACATGTGAACACACCAGCACGGTGTCTGGCAAGTGGAAGGCGTGCAATGATGTCACTTTAGAGGCAGCTTGTAAAGAATGACAGCTTCTGATGGGTTTCTGTGACAACCTGTTCTCTAGCCGGGTGTCAGGAACTTTCAGCAACTATCAACAGCTCTATGAACTGCTCGGCAAGGAAGGTTATAAATACCCACCCTCCCCCAGTACAGGAGGGGCAGTAATGCCCACACTCTGAAAGCTAAGTTTGCCAGAAACACTAAGGCATCCTGGCTGTTCAGTACTGGGTATTCAAGCAACAGCTGAAAATATAAACTCATTTTTTTCCGTTTTATCCCGCCCCATCTAATAGCCTCACCGTCCTTGAAGTCAAATTGGCCTGAATCCAGGATCAGGCTACTTACAAATATTTGAGCTGCAGTGAGGTATTTAATTCTGAGTCTCAGTTTCTACATCCACAAAGTAAGATCTGCTACTAACTCCCTTGCAGGATTAGTTTGAAAAATAGAAATAACACATAAAATGGACCTGCCGCAGTCCCTGTAAAGACAGTAAGCTCCACAAACGGTTGCTGTCTATACCGACTTCCCCAACGCGACGTCGCCACGATGGGTGGCAGTGGCGTTGTCAGGGCAGTGGGAGCATCCGTGGCTGTTGGTACAGTATCAGCCCTGGGTGGAAACACGGATTCAGCGACGTGTGAAGGACACACTGAGTGGCTCGCACCACCTGGTCAGGGCCCTGCGTGACTAGGCACTGGGAGAATGACTCACGGCTTTCCACGTGCATGGCCTCAGGAGACACATTTAACCGTTCAACACCAGTAGCCACCGACCAGCTAGGCTGCCTGCCTCTTCCGAGGTGAGCTTTCTAGCATGCCTGACCTCAGCAGCGTGTGGGGCTGGGCACTGCCTCCAATCTCTTCTTCTGCCCACTGGTCATTCAGGAGGGAAAAGGAAGCCCAGACAGAAAGAAGAAAAAACAAACCTCACACCCAACACCAATGGCAGCTGCCCCTGCCCTGGGCCGCAGCTTCCTCCCAGCCCCCTAAGCATCAACGGGGTGGGGGCGCAGAGGGGCTGGGTCACTCTCATTCACAAACACACCCCACACCCTGCTCTCTGATGTGGAAACTACTCAGGAGGCAAGCTCTAGGGGAGGCAAGCCTTACTCCCCCTTGCCTTTCTCAAAAAACACGAGTCCTTCAAGCCTGCACAGCGAGGACAGAGATTAGAGACCTGCATCCTCGACTAGACAGACGGGAAGACAGAAGGGAGGGAGGCGGCAGGAACCACAGCCTGGGGAAGACAGAGCAATTTCATTGCTGGCCCCTAACGACAGTGTGGCAACCGATAAGGGTTTGGAACAAACATTTTTGTCATCCCAGCCCCCTGCCCTCCCCCACTGCGTCTCCCTGTGGTCTGCCCCAGCTGTGGGCATGTTTAGTCACCGGCTCTACTAGCAGGCAAGAATGTACCTGCGAGTGCTGGCAAGTCGTGAGCAGCCAACGGCCCAATGCTACCATAAAAGGAAACATTCCCCAACCCTTCCAGAGGAACCGTTTTCCCAGGGCTGTCCCTAGGATGGCTGGAATTCCTCTAATTGTGTGAGGAGGAGTCAGAGGCTCTGCTGCTGAACAACAGGAAGCAGAGCCCCCAAACACACTCGAGGGCATGCACACAGAGGCGCACGCACGCACAAGGGCATGGACACACACATAGACACGCAAGCATCTGTGCATACACAGTCACATATGGAGGTAGGTGTACAGAGGTACGTGTGCACAGAAATACATGCGCACACACGTGTGCAAAGCCATATACATAGATCCACACAAGGCACACAGCTGCACACGCATTCACAGATGCATATCCACAAGCACAAGTGCAAACACAGGCACGCAAGGCACATGTATTCACAGGTGAATGTGAACATACATGTATGTACATAGCCATGCACACACACGGATGTATGCACAGGCACACACACTTCAAATTCCGAAACCCCAGAGCCAAATTCAGTGTCTCCTCTCCATCCACCCGAGCGTCCCTAGCTCTCCCACTTCTCCAGCCTTCCCCGTCCAATTCCTGAAGCCAATTTACCACTGTCAACACAGCCTAACCATACCTTAAAGAAATCTGGATTTGTTCTGCCAGGAACATTCATCTGGACAAATGCTTTCTGAAAGGCAAACTGCTGGGAGGCCTCCTCATTGCATCTCTTACCGCACTGCTTAGTATCCTAAATCCACCGGCCGGATGCACCACGAATCGTACCATGGCCCCATGCAACCGAAAAGGTCTTTCCAATGCTCAGGAAGGGTTTTGGTCTGTTATCTTGTGTGGCCTCCAATAACCTTACAAGGTATTGTATTGTAATGTACAAAGCAGGTATTATCATCATTGTTTTGCCATCTTTCCACACAGCGGTTCTTCTGGATTTGTTCCTGATCTCAGAGGCATCTCTTCTGGGCAGTGGGGTGGTTAGAATTCTTAGCAACCAGTGGGCTCTTTGGCCTACTCAGTTTACTCTGCAGCCCACCTCCCCACCCTATGCATTCTAGTGGAGACTGCCATTGGCGCCCACCCCATCAACCCTTCCCCGCACTGTCATCTCACAGGATGAGCACATTCAGAGTCCGGCCCAATCTGCTTGTTTTGGCTCGAGTCCTTATTTGGCCTGTAAGGACTGAAGGCTTATTTGAAAACGCCCTTCCTTCCTCTAAACGGGAGGAGGCCGCCAGGGACAAGCCTCTTCTGGGACACGAGCCCCCTGCCAGATGAAAGTCTAGCCGTGGTAGGCGCCTGAACCCACTGCCCCAGCCCCTCTCTTGGTGAGGGTGGGGTAGAGATGGGGTTATGAGTCACTCTGCAGTAGTTTTCAGACTTTTCAAAAAGCAGCGGCAGTCCTTCCTCAGATAAAATCTTCCCAAATTCCTGAGCAAGGGACAGTGGGTGGTGGAGACAGGGTTCCTCAGAGCACAGTTTGACAACCACTAGTCCATGTGTCTGGAGCAGTTCTGCAAAGGAGGAAGCCACAGCCGAGAGCGCTGTGGCCCTGGGTTCCGCTCTTCCCCACGCAATGCCTGGCCCCTTGACCTCTCTGGGAATGAAGGGACTGCTCTGAGGATGGAAGGAAATGGTGTTCCTGTCGTACACGGTGTGAGGCAGATGCCCAGACATGCCGTCCTCACCCGCCTGCTGTCTCGGAGCTCCCAACTGAGCAATTCCCTGGCACCGCCACGAGAAAGTCTTTCATAAAAGTTACAAATTCAGGAACCAGGCCATTTTCTCCCTGGATTTCATTTTCAACCGAAAATGTCCTGAGGCCAAGCCCATGCAGTGAGGGCATCTGAGCTGATGTGGCCATCTACCTGTGGACAGGTGTTTCCAGCCAGCTCAGCAGGCTGGGCCCAGGAGGGAGGAAGGGGAACCTGACCGCAGGTATTTCATCCCAGGTGCAGACTTCTGCTGGGGGCTTAAGCCTCACTTCCTCTGTGAGAGGAGCTGCAGCTCACTCTTGTCCATAAAAGGCCACGAGGCTCGCAGAGCGGTGACATCAGCCCAACAGGAAGTACAGAGGAAGGGGCCTGCTTCACCAGCAGCCACTGCTGGGACTGACTCATCACCCAGCTCCCAAGATCACACCTCCCGAGGTTCCAGCATGGAGCAGCTCTCTCGGGCTCCACCTGGGAGAGGTCCCTGCAGGACCCCATCTTCGGCTCCACTGGGCTTCTTGAGAAATGGGTATGGGCCAAGAAAGAAAAACAGGAAAAAGGGCAGTTTCAGGTTGGACAACATGCCCACGTTGGGTGAGACTGATGGGATAATCTGAGACAAATGGGACCAAAACTTTCCACCACCAGGGAGTCTTCTGCTTTCAGGGAAACTCCAGAGTGGCCCCTGGGGGGTGGCTTGCTATATGTGTTGGCACTGTGAGCCCTGCCCTGCGTTGCCAGGATGGCTTGATCAGAGTTGCACAAATGGGGCTGAGAACTCAGGTCTCTGGAAACCTCACGCACCCCAGGACTCCCCTCCATCGAACACCCCTATGAGCACAGCACTCGGCACCTCCCGCAGGCCTGCCTCAGTGCTGCAAAGAAAGGGCCGCGACACTCTCATGACGAGAAGCTCTGCTTCTCCACAGCCAGCTCAATTCACAAGCTTGGGTTACAAGTCTTTGGGAGGCAAACAGAGAGGTGAAGAAAAGCAAGTGCAAAATGATGCTTCATATTAGCAGAGGCTGCAGATCTGTGCCGAGTGGGGTGGAGCTTCCTGGCAGCCTGCCTGCCTAGCAATCTGCCAGCAAAGGAGGAAGCCCCTTCCGTCGCTCCCAGGCACACAATGTGGTCATGGGCGAGTGTGCCCTCCAGGCCACCACGGTAGGCCCAGACCAAGGGACATGCCTGCTCAGCAGCATCCACACCAGAAGCCAGTTCGACTCGGCCCAGTGCCTCTGCCCCATAGCCCCTGTGATCTCCCAGGTGGAACCTGGTTTGAACCTGCTGAGACCCAAGTCCCCACTTATAGGAGGCAGAGAATGGGTAGCCCTCCCCCTCCAGACACTCTGGATAATTAAAAAAAAAAAAAAAAAAAAAAAAAAAAACCTCAAGGTATTGCTCTTAACTTTCATTATGTCAGACTAAGCGAGGCCCCAAACAAGCCTTCTCTTGGCCAAAATGCATTAGGAAAACACAGGTAAGTTCCCAGCACACAGGCAAATCTGCCAGAAACAGCACTGCTGTTTCTGTGGGTGGGGCCAGGAGGGGGAAACTTCTCCTTCTGGGGTTGTTGCCAAGGCAGCTCCAACAGGTTTGTCAGACTGGAGGGAAATTCAAAACCACATACGAGTGCTGACCACCCACAGCACATGCCACCGGGACACTCCCAGTCCGGTTCCGCCTTGCTCCTACCTAACATTTCCCTTGCGAAAAGGAAAGACAAAGCAGGAGGGGCCCCTGTTGACTTCTGCAGAGGGCTGGATCAACAGGGAATAAGAGGGAAGGAGCTGGGACACACACAGGGAGCATGGCAGACACAGCCAGGCACTGCTCATGACAAACTCAGCTCCCTGTTGGAGCACAAACAGGCCTGCAAAGACAGCAACCAGCTTTGTGAAACTCCTTTTGATGAGTCAAACGTGCTTGAGAGCACCAGGGACATCAATGGTAGGAGGTGAACAGTTAACAGCGCATGAACACGTTGCCTCGGAGGAGCGGTCGGTAGAAGGAAAGGCATGTCGGTGACTGTTAGGCTAGGATTCACTCCTGGAGCACGGCTCACGCTTCCTCTCCTTTCAGCTTAGACCTGTGCCCTGTTGTATCTGTGGACCAGCTCATGTGGAAGAGACAAGATCTTCAGGAAGAATCCCAAAGCCAGGTGGGAATGACATCCTGAGCCCCCATCAGTACTGTCTGTTTGCCAAAAGAAAACCTGGGGTCTCAAGAGTTTATGGAGTTTATGATCAAGGTCCACACGGGGCTGACAGCCTTGGTCAAGACTAAACAAATTTGACAGAAGCCACGTGCAGAATCCCAACTTTTATACCTGCAGCTTTTCAGTTCATTTATCTTTCTTTAGTTGTAGGGAATTACTTTGGTTCTCAACTGATAACTTCATTCCAGAAATCAGGTATGTAAAAGAAAGCAACTCCTTTCTCTGAACACACTGTTGTTCAGCCCTGACAAACTGGGACACAGTTCAACTGAAGTCTCTAAGCCAGAGCTGGAGAGAACAGGAAAAACGGGCTGGTAGGTGACACTCACCAGGCAGCAAGAGAACTCGTCACGGGAGGCCAAAAGCACGAAGTGGCTTAGTGATTAGGGATTTGATGTGAGTTTTTGTTGTTGGTTTATTTCAGGGGATGGGGAGCAGAAACAAAAAACACTGGGCAAAGCTTCCAAACACCCCCACCCAAAATTTCAGGTTCTAAGAGGCCACTTCCTTTTTATCTCCCGCTCAGTGGGCCCAGAGCAAAGCATGGTGGGCCTGTTGGGTTGGATTTACAAAAAAAAAAAAAAGTAAGCCTAACGCTGAATCCTTGAAAAGGGCCCGTTAACTGCAGATTCCTCTTCTAGAAAGAAGAAGTTCTAGAAATGAGACTGACAGGCAGGACCATGGGTAGTTCAGCAGCCTCATGCTGGGGCCGGGCTTTCCTTCCTGGAGGAGCAGCACAAAGCAGCCAGCTCGCATCAGCTCGAGGACAGCGCCTCCCGGCTGCAGCCATGGTGTTGGGTGGTGGCCCAGGGCCTGCTTCCCACAGCACCTGTCTGGTCCACCAGCATCCCAGGGAACAGAAAAGTGTCTCAGGGCTGCAGAAGAACCAACTCTGGATCAAGCACATCTCCTAAAGCTCCACTGAGGCCACATCAGCCCCAGGCCTCAGCTCTGCGTGGACCAGACCAGATAAGCCAGGACCGCGTCTGCTATCGCGTTCCAGTGTGTGGCGCGGTCGCTGCAGGGGCGGCTGTGACAACTCACTTCCTGCACCTGGACTCTCGGGAGAGTGTTTTTGGGGAGATTCAAATGGCTGCCTGGAAGATGCATTTGGCCATCACCTTCATTAAGCGAGCAGGAGTGTGGACGGAAGGAATGAGCGATTTGAAGCCTCCGTGGAAGGCGGGGCAGTTCAGTCAAGAAGTGTTTGGACTCCTACTGCCAGCTCTAACAGGTACTTATCGCAGGCATCACACACACGGCGTCTTACTTCTTACCATGGCCCTGCCCAGGAGTGTCATGAAGCCCAAGAGGAGGACAAGAGGACAAAGGCTCAATTAGAGTGAGTTGACTTGCTCCAGCCAGGTTGCAGTTAGGAAGCTAAAGAGGCAGATTCCTGCTCTGTCTAGTCCAAAACCCACAGTCTCTCCTCCACGACACACTTCCTCTTGCTCAAAGGCAATACGTGGCACTATTCCCAAGTCTAAGGCTGAGACAGGCCCAGCAGCCCCTTTTTGGTGCCCTATAGAAGTGCTGTGTCATCTATCAAAGGCCCGTACCCACCCCAGAAGCTCTCGAGGCTCGGTGGGGCGCCCCTCCTCTGTGCTAGTCTCTGGCTCTCATCTTGAAGCTGATTTGCCTGTCTCTGAGCACGAAACAGTCACCTCCTCCAGGCAGGCCCCAGCCTGCTGTCTGTACACTCTCTGCAGAGTGCCCGGCACACACACAGTAGGTGCTCAGCTCAGCCAGCACAGAGAGACCAGCAGGTGCAGACACAGAACACGCCCCATCTTGGAGAGCCCACGCTGCCTCCACAGGCACATTTAGGCACACAGGGCCTGCTCCCAACCTCCCCAGCAGACAGCGGTGCCTTTGTGTGCTGACGGCTGGCAGGGCTGGCGGCCTCCCGGCTGGGTGCATTCCTGCTTCAGCAGAGTCATCCCATCTGTGGCTTCCATGGCGCTCCTTCCTCAGCTGCCTGTCCCGGTGAGTCGATTCAAACAGAGCTTTTCTGCCCCTTGAAGCTTTTTCCTGAGCCTCTGCCAAACATGGCACTTTTCCTCAGAAAGACATTGGAAAGCAGACAGTTCCACAGGAGACACAACTAGCGGGGCAGGGAGAATGTGGAGAGAAGGAAAGAGAGGGCCTCTCCTCCCCTAGTGCCCCCCAACCACTGAGCTGGAGATAAGAATTCCTTCAAGACCAGCCAGAGAAAATGAGGGGCACCAATGCCCCACGGGCCTGTGCCAGGGTAACAGGCACCAGGACAGGAAATCAGGAGACTGCTTTCTGGGGCTGGCTCTCTGCGGGCTTTTCGACAAGCCAGTTAACATTATCTGTGCCTGCCTCTTTACGTATGAATTCGAAGAGCCATGCTCAGACGTGAAGATACACAAAAATTCTACCCCTCATTGTTTACAGAAAAAGGTCAGACACCGAGGGGCATGTGCACACTCACTGGCACTCTGAGCGGCTGCTGGGTGACCAACCACCTCTGGTGCAGCTTCCCTTGGGAACCAGGGATCGGGTGGGAAGGGAGACTGGCACAGAGCAAAGGGTTAAATTGCTCTCAGACAAGTTTAGGCCTAGAATGAAAGCAGATCTGCTTCCCCCAAAATGCTGGGAACTCATTAAAATATTAATACCATAAAGTCACTGAAAGTGAACCAAACCTGGCATTCTACCTAATTCACATAGAAGGGGCTTTTTCTACTCACTGGGGAGATAACTGGGCTCATGTCAAATTCCTCAACCAGTGAGTTCTCCTGTAGAGACATACACACCTTTCCCCATAGGGGAGACCCCAGAGGGTCTGGCCCGGGATCCAGAAGCACCATTTCCTAGGCGAGGCAGACCTTTTGCAGACCACAGCTGCTTCCACCTGAACTTTACAGCAGACCATTGTGCCTGCCCCGGGACACAGTCCCACCCATCCCCCGCTGCCTGGCAAGGGCCAGCAACACAACGTTTACGCTCTCTCACTCTCCTGGCCTTGGCCAGTTCAAAGCCTTTGGTGCCATCACAGAGTTCCGAGGAACAGTCCAATCCCCAAGGCAGGAAGACCCAGGAACGGCCATGACAACGAATTAACAACATGGGAAAGCCAGGGGCAGGAGGGTGAACCGACCATGTCACCCAAGGCCACGCTGGGCACGTCTGGGATGCCCTGTAACTACTTACTGACTGACACACACCACCGCCTTTCTGCAAGATCCGACCTCGCCACACCTGACAAAACTCCCAGGACACCTGACATTGGCTCAGTCGTGCTGGCGCAGGTGTAGGCACCAAATGTCTTGTTTTGTAGCTAGGGCCACAAATCTCTGTCTATAAACATGCCTCGTCTCTCCACCTGGACCGCCAGGGCATCCAGTAACAGGATAATGTCAAAACCTCCTGGCATTCTGGCACCTTCTGTCACCTACCTCCACGGCCTAATCCAAGGCACTACATGCTGTGATGCCCCACCCGTGCCCACGGCAGACAGCACTAATCCATCTCAGAATTCCTGCATCGAGTCTCAAATCCTTGCCAGCACAGGGCTCCAGGCAGCCACTACTGATCGATCGGAGATGACACTCAAAGTAAAACTAATCTGCAATGCTTAGTCCAGTAGTTCTTAACTGGGAATAATCTTGCCCCCCACGGAAACTTGATGGCAATGTCTGAGAATATTTTTGGTTGTCACAACTGGAGAGGGAAGGTGTAGCTGGCACCAAGTGAATAGAGGCCACGATGCTGCTAAAAATCCTACAGTGCTCAGGAAGATCCCCCACCCCCAACAGAGAATCATCCAGCCTCAAATATCACTAGTGCCAAGAGTGAGAATCCCTGGCTTAGTCTGACAATAGGTGAGTGACATATAATTTATCCTCCAAACTGGGATGCTTCTGAAAGTGAAAGAGAGTGCTATTAATAATAACTGTGGAACAACAGGCATAAATCAGGACTGTACAGGCAAACCAGTACACTGAACAGATAAAGGCAGATGGAGGTCCCCAGGAAGGGTCAAAGAGCTCCTCTCCTACAAGTCCCCAGACAGAGCCACCAACTGCCCCGTTTGGCAGAATAAATGCTAGTATGTCATAAGGCACAGCCAGCTCAGGAAGGAAATCTTTGTCTAGTTCTTGTTTAAAGAAAAAGCACAAAAGGAACTTTCCGGCTGTGCCTTTTAAGATGTAAGTGGCAGAGAACAAATCTGTTTCCCTCAAAGCCAGGGGGGCAGCATGCACTAAGACTTCACTCCAAAAGACAGGAGCAGATTTTAACAGCCTGCAGACCCCGAGGCTCCACGGGTGACACATGACCCAGGGCAAGAACCAAAGGTTCCTCTGGATATTTTTCTTTTACTAGTGAACCAGCTTGTCATAACATGGACAACTTCTGTTACTAACTTCCTCCCTGCTCCAAGAGCAAGAAACCTATTAGTATTTGCTTTGCAGGTCAGCTATATACAAAAAGAAGGAACTTTCTTTTCTTTTTTTTTTTTTTAATTGAGACCAAGTCTCGCTCTGTTGCCCAGGCTGGAGTCCAATGACACGATCTCAGCTCACTGCAACCTCCGCCGCCCAGGTTCAAGCAATTCTCATGCCTCAGCCTCCTGAGTAGTTGGGACTACAGGCGTGCGCCACAATGCCTGGCTAATTTTTTTGTTTTTTTAGTAGAGACAGGGTTTCGCCATGTTGACCAGACTGGTCTCAAACTCCTGACCTCAGGTGATCCACCTGCCTCGGCCTCCCAAAGTGCTGGGATTACAGGTGTAAGCCACCACACCCAGCCGAAGAAGAAGGAAAATAGCCTAGAGACGTCCTTCGTCAGTCAATGTGGGAGCTCAAGAGCTGCAGCAAGTCCAATGCTAGCAGAAGGCAAAGTGAAAACCTCTCAGACTGAGGGTTAGAAAACACATGGACCCAATTCCTGCACGGACTGCTTTAAAGGAGGCATCAACAATACAAGTTTCCCGTGCTCACAAATGTATTTCCTATCCCTGGTCTCCAAAAGATGAAATCGCCCACCTGGCTGGGTGCGGTGGCTCACACCTATAATCCCAGCACTTTGGGAGGCCGAGGCGGGTGGATCATGAGGTTAGGAGTTCAAGACCAGCCTGACCAACATGGTGAAACCCCGTCTCTACTAAAAATACAAAAAAATTAGCCAGGCGTGGTAGCATGCACCTGTAATCCCAGCTACTCAGGAGGCTGAGGCAGGAGAATTGCTTGAACCCAGGAGGCGGAGCCCGCAATGAGCCGAGATCGTGCCACTGCACTCCAGCCTGGATGACAGAGTGAGACTCCATCTCAAAAAAAAAAAAAAAGAAAAAGAAATCGCCCACCTACCTGCCCTCATAATTTGCAAATCTGATCAAACCACTTGATTCAGAATCTTGACAAATCATGAAGAGACCCTGAATTGCACAGATGTACGAGGGTGGCCCCTAAGTTCCTATGAAGGCCATTCGGTATGGCCAAGAAAAAGGAAAGCTCTGGTTCTCTGCATCCTTTTTTTTGTCCCCCAATTACTTTCAATGTATGGAGCTTTCAGGCCACCACCAAATTTTTGTTGTTGTTGAACAAATAAAAATTGAATGAATCTCTTGGAGAAGGAGTCCCACAGGTTAACTGAAGACAGTCTGAAGTCCAGATCTGAAGACTGTCTCCTGCCTCATCAGTACACATTACTCAGTCTTAATGTCTTGCCTAAAAGCAAAAATGCCCAGTTGCTAGATAACCATCCCAATCCAGGATCCAAGTGTGAGAACAGGCCCTTACTCAGTAGCTCAGATCTCAAGATGACTCCGGAGTACACTTTTTGCACTAGGCCAATTAAGAGAGCTGGGAGCAAACTGACTCATAACCTCTAGAGACAAAGAATCAGACCTTTCTGGAATCCCACAGAATGTTTTTCCACCAGGCTGTTCTAGTTAGCATTTTGAAACAGACATTCTACTTTAGAACTGAAGGCCTGACTTCCTCAAGATATTTTGATAGACGTGAACATAAGCCAAAGACTCGGCCAAACTTGAGCATCCTACATAATGCATCAAGCTCAACAGTAAAATGCCTCCTTCACAGCACAGCGTGGGTGGTGGAGGACAGGCTGCAAGCTGCCACTGTAAACCACTAAACCAGGGACAAAGTGGTTAACCCAACAAGATGCATTACCACCACTGTCTAGATAGACTGCAAAGTTTAAAGAAAAAAGGATCCATATGTAATGGGACATAACAAACCACTATCCATACAAGATAGGAGAACACGGCCCTGCCTGAAAATTGGGTTTGAGTCAGGATTACATATGCCAGGTACTTGGCTAAGCTCTGAGAATATAAAGGCAACATGGGCCCTGTCTGTATCTAGGAGAGAAAAAGAAACGTGTAAACACTGCAGTCAAATAAAGCACTACCAGGGCTCTGATGCAAATCTAGCCCAGATATTCTCCTTGGAGGCCCTAATGCTTCAGTCATGTTTTTAAAAAAAGAATAGGGATTTGCCAGGCATTGCAGGCAGATGGAGCAGGTAGGGTGTTCTGAAGCAGAAAGAGCTATTAGGGAAATGTAAGGAGTTCCACATAGCTAGGAAGGTGGGAAGGTAGGCAAGGGGCCAATTTTGAAGGGCACTGTACACTAACACAGAGTCACAGTGTTATTAGGCTAGTGCAAAAGTAATCGCGGTCTTTGCCATTACTTTTAATGGCAAAGACCGCGATTACTTTTGCAGCAACCTAATAGCTCTGGGGGAATGAGGAGCCTTTCTATGATTTGTCAAGATTTCAAATCAAGTGATTTGATCACATTTACATCCCAGAAAGATGACCAGCTGGTGGAAGCACAGGGTAGGGGGCTCTATTAAGAGTAAAGTTGGCCAGGCACGGTGGCTCACGCCTGTAATCCCAGCACTTTGGGAGGCCGAGGTGGGTGGATCACCTGAGGTCAGGAGTTCGAGTCCAGCCTGGCCAACATGGCAAAACCCCGTCTCTACTAAAAATACAAAAATTAGCCGTGCATGGTGGCACAAGCCTGTAATCCCAGCTACTAGGGGGGCTGAGGCAAGAGAATCGCTTGAGCCTGGGAAGCGGAGGTTGCAGTGAGCCAAGATCATGCCACTGCACACTCCAGCCTGGGTGACAGAACGAGATTCCGTCTCAAAAAAAAAAAAAAAGAAAGAAAGGAAGTGGTAGAGACTGTCCGATGCTGGGGAGAGGTGAGGTAGGAACTCCTGAGAGCCGTGGACTTAGCAACACACAGGTCATACATAGGTGACCTCTGTTGGCCAGTCTGGAGAAGGGGTGGGGACAGACAGCCAGGGCGAGGGGAGTGACCAGGAGGTGGGGATAGAGGCAGTGAGCACAGACACTTCCTCCACAAAGCTTCACTGCGATGGAACAGAAGGGGCACAGAAGCCAGAGTGACAGGGGGGCAGAAGCCACCCGAGGCTCTGCATCTGTTTGTGTAGAGATGGGAAGAACTCGAACGTGTTTCTAGACTGTGGGGAAGAAGCAAGAAAGGAAGAGGGAAAAACACAAAGGGAAGGGAAGAACAGGAAGAAGAAGGGGCCTAAAAGAAAGCAGAGGGGACAGGCACAAGAGCTCTTGAAAAGTATGAGAAATTGAGAGAAAGATTAGGAAATGTATATTTTAAAGCTTCTAGAACATTCTATCAACATATAAACATGTCCTCTGGATAGCCACTGGCCCTGGCTTTCATACAGAGGTCTACAGACCTCCATGATGCACTGCCCATCACCAGCCACTAGATCAATGTGGCACCAAATGTGACTTAGCACCTGCAAAGGTGTCAATGAGGCCCCAGGTGAAGATTCAGCCCCAGGTGGGCACACACTACGTCACCCACCTTGCATCATACTCCTGTAGGCGGTGTCTGTGATGGCATAGATGTGAGGGGGCATCTCGTGCCTCTTCTTGCCCTTGTACATTTCCACAATCTCTTCAGAGTAGATGGGCAGGTTCTTGTAAGGATTGATGACCACACAGAACAGGCCTGAATAGGTCTAAAGAAAAGAGCGGCAGATAGGAACAGGTTAGGAAGTTTGATTCTCAGTAGTGTACAAACTTTGTAGCAAAATATCTGCGGCTTCAAAGGACCCCTGAGTCAGCCTGATGTGAAGGCACTCCCTGATGGCCCTTGCTCCCAGTGGCCCAGCTCCCGCAGCCCTGCTGCAGGTGTGAAGCACCGGCATCCTCCTTCTGCCCTGTAAGTGAAGATCCTCCCTCTCCACTGCAGGAGTGCTCCAGCCTCATAGGTCAGTGAGTGTGCGTATCCACCAGGCAAGGTCCGCGGCCAAGCAGACAACAGCAAAGTCCAGTTACAAAACTCAGATCCGAGGACAATGAGAGATGTCTTTGTCATCGTGAGAGAGGCACAAACAGAAAAGGGCTCAGCTGCAGCGCAGCAAACTGTAGAAACACAAATCATTCCACACTGAAGGACGCTGAGAGATAGTGAAGCTTACACCTTTCTAGCACTGGAAAAACGCACTGTGTCCTAAACCAATTAGATCCTTTGTGGGATAGTGGGTCCCTGACAGACACCTCTTTCTCTGGAATCTTCTAGAGACATTCACATGCAAATCCCTCAAACACTTTAAGACTATTTCACGTCCCCCGTGAGCCTTCTCCAAGACTTCCTCTCTGGAGGGGAACCCAATTAATCAACATCCTTAATGTGAGGTACCTAAAATATACCCAATACTCCAAGTGTGACTTGATCAAATTCAAATAAGACCCCCAGAGTCAGATATCCTGAGTTCAAATCTCAGCAAGGGTAAGGTTCTTAACCTCTCTCCCCCTCCATTTCTCGATGTGAAAAACGGGGACAGGCAGAGCTCTAGACCTCATTGGGTGGTTATGAGGATTAAATGAAGCACATAGCACAGCACGCAGCATAGCCTTGGAGAGGAGCTCTGGGTAGGCGAGGAGAACCATTTCCAACAGCAACAGTTTACACACATCTGTCCTTCCTCATCTTCAGGTAAATACACCTTACCTTGTGACTACCTCCGTGTCTTCAGGGAAATATACTTTACCTTGTGACTACTAATTCTTTTTCTAATAAGTTTCCTGTTACTTTTTCTCCCAAGATCCCTTTCCCCCACCAAAAAAAAAAAAAAGATTCCTAAAAGCTGCGCAAGACTCCCAAGACCACCCAGGGTGGCAGATGTTCAGTTGGGGAACGCAACCCTCTTCAAGCAACTGGAGTGACCCAAGTACCCTCTTCCTAAGAAAATGGGCCTGAGGGGCCTGGCGAAGTGAAGCCGGGGCTCCACGCACCACATCACCTACGGCCCTGCCTCTGTGAAGTGATGATGGAAGGTCACAAGGCATTGGGCAGAGCTGGGAGCAGACTCGGGTCTCCAATGCCAACCTCCTTGGTCACGGAGGCCAGTTCTCCGAGCTCCTTCCAACCTTTTGTTTTCTCCATCACAAGTGGCCTGCACCTTCATTGTTCATGAAGCAGCCACCATCTGAGGGACTGCATGCACTACAGAGTCAACCCAGCCCCCTCCACCTGTGCCCTCTCCAGTCACTCCAAAACTGGGGATGGATCTTGTGGCTGAACCCAAAGACAGGGTCCACATAGGAACCAGTCATGAAGAGAAGGCTCTTCTCAGGCACTGGCCAAAGGCTATGGCACAGGGAATTTCCAAGCAGCAATTGACTAAAGGCAGAACCCAGAGGGCCCCAACAACCACACAATGGTATGCATTCAAAACAGCTGAGGCCACACACAGGGGCTCACACTGGAATTCCAGCACTTGGGGAGGCCAGGGTGAGAGGATCGCTTGAGGCCAGGAGTTCGAGACCAGCCTGGGCAAAAAAGCAAGTTTCCATCACTACAAAAAATTAAAAAATTAAAATAAAAATTAGCTGCGTGTGGTGGCATGCACCTGTAGTCCCAGCTACTCAAGAGACTGAGATAGGAGGATCACTTGAGGCCAGGAGTTCGAGGTTGCAGTAAGCCATGATGGCAACACTGTGCTCCAGCCTGGGTGACAGAGGGAGACCCTGCTCTTAAAAAAAAAAAAAAAAAAAGAGCAGCTGAGCTTAGAAATGGACAAGCGTGTTTGGCTGCTTGGAAAAGGAGATGCAGGGCCCTTGATTTCCTTTCTTCCTGGGATAATTAGTCACTTGTTTTCCCTCCAACTGCTCTTTTCACAAGAGACCAGGAAAGCTCTGAAGAAGTGTAAACACGGTATTGGCAACCTGCGGGCCCAGGCATTTCAGGAGGAAGAGACACGGGAGCCTGTTCTGGTTTTTCCTCTGCGTGAATGTTGAGTGGGGACAAGAGAGAAGGCCAGGGAGCAGCAAGGTCACCCCAGGAGCTCAGAAACAATCAAGCTTTGTTCCTGGACTTTGAGAAAACCCACACTCTAGGAAATCCAGCCCAGGAAAACCAAGGACACGTGGTCGCACACTAAGGGAGTGCCATGGAGCCAGATGTTTGGAAACAGCTGGTGCTGACAGCAGAAGGGGACCACGGGTCATTAGGACAAGTCTTTCTGACAGCTGGGTGGGCACATGGTCCTATGGAGTGGTCTACGGGAGCTCAAAGTTCTCTGGGCTAATCCCGTCAAAGCAGTGATGATGGAGCTAAGCCCTGCGGAAAGAGCACTGAGGCTCAGGTGGGAGGAAGGAGATTCACTGGATGCTCGTGGAGGCAAGACATCGAGCAAGCGGCTTCGCGCCCACGCGGCGCGGCCACGACACGGCGCTGCTCCATTCACAGGCCACAGAGGCTCTTTGTGCCCATCCGCCCCCATCCCAGGGCCTCACCCCCTGAAGAAAAAGACAGAGCAGCTGTGGCTCAGAATTAGCCACGCCACCCACAATGCTGGGCAAACAGGCTGCACGAAGGCTCCTGAGGTCATGATTTGGAAGCTTGATGGAGAGATAGACCATGAATGAGGCAGCACCTCCCCATCCAGGCAGCACCTCCCCATCCAGGCGGCCCCGCCCAGGGGCGCTGACATGCTAATAACTCTGCATCTGCTGGGGTCTCCACTAGAATGACTACAGAGGCCATCAATGGGCCTCTTAGTGATGATGCTTAGAAGAAGGCTGGTGAGAGGCAGGAGGAACTGCACACCAGAGGTGACAGCAAGGAAGCAAAAATGAGAGTTAATGCCTCCAGCCAAAGAGTTCTAGAGAAAAGGTGTGGGCACTACCCACCACGCCCACCCACAGTAAAACCTCTGCGTGTGGCTTGCAATGGAAAGACGCAGCCACTAACACTGAATGTATCTGAATAATGACTGTTCCCTTTCGTGGGAGGGAGAGGCCCTGTGCAAGCTCAGGCAGGCTCAGGTGCTCCACTTGTTTTAATTCATATCCAGCAGATCCCAAAAGAGACTCAAGTTAAAAAGGCACCAATAAAGAGCCAAGGAGAGAAACAGGAGTTATTTTCACTTGTAACACACATCAGCAGCCTGAGTCCAGGCCCCCAGGCCTTGCCCCGAGCCAGGTGCTGGCTGGGTACTTTAGAAAGTTCCCATGGATGCCGGGTGTGGTGGCTCACGCCTGTAATCCCAGCACTTTGGGAGGCCGAGGCGGGAGGATCACAAGGTCAGGAGATCGAGGCCATCCTGGCTAACACGGTGAAACCCCGTCTCCACTAAAAATACAAAAAATTAGCCGGGTGTGGTAGTGGGTGCCTGTAGTCCCAGCTACTCGGGAGGCTGAGGCAGGAGAATGGCGTGAACCCGGGAGGCAGAGGTTGCAGTGAGCCGAGATCATGCCACTGCACTCCAGCCTGGGCGACAGGGCAAGACTCCGTCTCAAAAAAAAAAAAAAAAAAAAGTTCCCATGGAATCCTCGCAGATGAGGAAGTGAGACTCCACATAGCCATGTCTCATGGCCAGTAAGGGGCAGAGCTGGGATTTGAACCAGGTCCTCGAGGCTCCAACTATAGCACTTAAGGGCTCTGCTTTACTGAGCAGAGGCCATCTCAGCTTAGTGGCACAGCAGAGTGGGTGTGACATAAGCTATAAAGCCTGCCAAGAGGAGCGCCTCCCAATCCCAGACAGTGAGGCTGCAGCTCCCATGTCACCCCCACAGACACACTGTGCTTCCTTAAAGCACAGTCTGCCATTCATTTATTTGCAAGTCACTAATTCTGAATTTCAGTGGTTAATACTCCTTAGGGACAGGGGCCTTTAATTTGGTCCACATGATAATCTTATCAAGCAACAGATGAGACACAATAGGTCTGAAAATCAGGAACCCAAGTTCCAGCCTCAGCCTGGCCAACACCTGGCTGTGTGACCCTGCTTAAGTTCCTTGCTATCTCTGGGCCTCAATTCTTCCCACCTGCCATGTTAGAAGGCTGGGCTGGGGCCGGGCGTGGTGGCTCACGCCTGTAATCCCAGCACTTTGGGAGGACGAGGTGGGCGGATCATGAGGTCAGGAGTTCCAGACCAGCCTGGCCAATATGGGGAAACCCCGTCTTTACTAAAAATACAAAAATTAGCCGGGCATGCTGGTGGGCACCTGTAGTTGCAGCTACTCAGGAGGCTGAGGCAGGAGAATCGCTTGAACCCGGGAGGCAGAGGTTGCAATGAGCCAAGATGGCACCACACCACTGCACGCCAGCCTGGGTGACAAAGTGAGACTCCGTCTCAAAAAAAAAAAAAAAAAGAAGGCTGGGTTGTAAAGGAGACTGTTCCACATATCTACTTGTTGATAGGTCTTTGATGAGCCAGGTTCATCCCCCAAAGGGTGGGCATCGATGGCAGAAAACAAAGACCTCGTTGTCACAGACTGATTTAGCAATCAACAAGGAAATGCAGTCCTAGTCAGGAGTTCCGGGCAAATACAATGGCCCATGGCTCCCATTGAAGGCTTTAGCACATTGCAGGGCACTCAGAAGCATGAGTCTACCTCGTAGAAATGTGCTTAAGTCTGTCTGAAGTCACACAGAAAATTAAACGGCTGACCCTTTCAGAGCTGCTGTCTCTGTAACAGAATGAGCCTGCCACCACCTGCTTTTATTACATATGTGACCATGAGCAAAATCCCTCAGTCTGAAAGTTGGTCTTCCCATCTGTAAAGTGGGAAGGCCATAATAATCTTTTTTCTTTTTTTTGTTTGAGACAGGGTCTCACTCTGTCGTCCAGGCTGGAGTGCAGTGGTGCAATCTCGGCTGACTGCACCCTTGACCCCCTGGGCTCAAGTGATCCTCCCACCTCAGCCTCTAAGAAATAGCTGGGACTATAGGCACGCCACACTATGCCCATCTAATTTTTTTATTTTTTTGTAGAGATGGGGTTTCACCATGTTGCCCAGATTGGTATCAAACTCCTGAGCTCAAGCCATCCTCTCGTCTTGGCCTCCCAAGGTCCTGGGATTGCAGGCATGCACCACCATGCCCAGCCTATAGTAACCTCTTCATGGCTTTTTTCCACTAGGTCAAAAACATTTTGAGGACTGTTTTATTCAGCCCAAAGTTCAAGGTGGCTAGGGCAACATAAAGAAATAAAGAGCTATTTTAGGAATAATAACAAGCAGATATTTCTTTCCCACTGGGGACAAAACCAGAAGGAAATATCTTTGAGTTGAACAGAGGAATTTGGGGTTGATATTGGACAGGACTTTGTGACCCCAGAGCCCGTTGCCTCTGGGATGCATAAATGCTCATCTCCCTGTCTCCTAACTTGGTGATGGACTGCGTTTCTGCATTTTCTTTCTTGCCAGAAGAAAGAAAATGACGCCCCTGATCTGCTGCATGTGCTGGCCCTTTGCACATGCTGCTCTCTGGACTCTCAATACACTTCCCCTTGGTCAAGCCTGGCAAGGGACCAGCACTAAAGTGCTGGACAGAGTCCCAGAGCAAGTCTTACTCTTGGTGGCTCACCTCTGCTCAAAGCACACTCCCTAGGGAAGTAACCCACACCAACAAGCATCCGTAAAGAACAAGATGGGCTGGGCACAGTGGCTCACGCCTGTAATCCCAGCACTTTGGGAGGCCCAAGCAGAAGAATCACTTGTGCTCAGGAGTTCGAGACCAGCCCTAGGCAACATAATGAGACCCTGTCTCTAATAAAAATATTAAAAATTAGCCAGGCGTGGTGGCACAGGCCTGTAGTCCCAGCCACCAGAGAGGCTAAGGTGGGAGGATCGCTTGAGCCTAAGAGTTTGAGGCTGCAGTGAGCTGTGATCATGCCACTGCACTCCAGTCTGGGCAACAGAGCTACTTTGGGAGGCTGAGGTGGGTGGATCACGAGGTCAGGAGTTCGAGACCAGACTGGCCAATTAAAAAAGACCCTGTCTCAAAAAAAAAAAAAAAAAACAATAGTAAGATGGCAGAGATACCAAAAATGGGCTTGGGGCAAATGGTGAAGGGAGAGGAGATCCAGTGATGCAAGAGGAACAAAGCAGGAAACCAGGAACTGGCACTCCCTACTTTAGAAGGAATCTACTACATTTTTAAAGTGCAAAAAGCTTATTGGAAAGAAATCAAAAGAGATAAAGATATTTTTAAAAATATCTTTTAAAATATTTCATTATTTTAATAATATAATAAATAATAAATAAATAAAATATTTAAAATATTTTATTTTAAGATATTTTTTAAAATATTTTAAATAATTAAGATATTTTATTTAAAAAAATTTTTAAAGATATTTAAAAAATAAAATGTTAAAAAAGAAGATTTTTTAAAGATATTATTAAAAATAATTAAAATTCAAAAAAACAGGCCAGGTGCGGTGGCTCGCGCCTGTAATGCCAGCACTTTGGGAGGCCGAGGCGGGTGGATCACCTGAGGTCAGGCATTCAAGACCAGCCTCGCCAACATGGTGAAACCCCGTCTCTACTAAAAATACAAAAATCAGCCAGGCATTATGGCAGGTGCCTATAATCCCAGCTACTCAGGAGGCTCAGGAAGGAAAATCGCTTGAACCCAGGAGACAGAGGTTACAGTGAGCCAAGATCACACCATTGCACTCCAGCGGGGGCAACAGAGCAAGACTCCGTCTCAAAAAAAAAAAAAAATTAAATTAAATTAAATTAAATTAAAAAAGAAGGAATCTACAACATTGACCTGAACCTTCATATTTCCACCAAAACTTGAGAACGAAGGCCAGTGGGTGGCCATCCCTCAGACAGGGCCATATTCTTCTCCCTACGTATGTTCTAAAACAGGCTTCCTGTTTTGCTTTTGGCTGCAAAGGGAAAAGAATAATGCTATAAGAACATCCCACTAGGATGTTCAGATGTCAAAGTTCAAGGATGTCACCCCAGCACTCCTTCAAGCCCCCTTCTCAACCAGAGAGCCAGGGCCCAGGCACGTGAGGGTGATGGGAAGACCCGCCCCCCCCCCCCACCTCGGAGCCCTCAGACCCAGCCTGCGGGGTGCCACGGCAGCCACTTACGTAGATGAGCCCTGAGTAGTAACGCTCCTTGAGGTTGTGCAGCACCGAGGCTTCGTTGAGGCACGTGAGCTCTGCCATGTCCTCCACCTTGGAGAACTTGGGCGGGTTCATCTTCTGGATGTCATCCTTGTTCACCTTCACCTTCTTCCCATTCTCCACCAGCTCCACGATGGCCTCTTCGCCCACCTCCTCCTTGAGGCTGGCTGGCTCAAAGCCACTCTTGTCGGAAGGCACCCATACCAGCTTCTTGGCAGCCCAGTCGGCCTGGGCCAGCGGATTGTTGATGAAGTTTTTATCCACATAGAGATACTTATCGGCAGCTTGCTGTGCCATGGTGACTTATAGCCAGGACCTAAGCGGGGAGGAGAAGGACAACACATTACATACAACTACGTCAGCCACACAAGATCACTCATGCTCACACCTCTTCTCTTTGCAAACTGTATAGGATTAAGACACAGTAAAACTCTATATAACCAGGCTGCACAACTTTCTTGCTCCACACTTTTGGGATAAAGATGTGCATCACTGAAAAAACAAGTTGGGCCCAGGACAGTGGCTCATGCCTGTAATCCCAGCACTTTGGGAGGCCAAGGTAGGCATATCACCTGAGGTCAGGAGTTCAAGACCAGCCTGGCCAACCTGGTGAAAACCCATCTCTACTAAAAATACAAAAATTAACCAGGCGTGGTGGTGCACACCTGTCATCCTAGCTACTCGGGAGGCTGAGGCAGGAGAATCGCTTGAACCCAGGAGGCGGAGGTTGCAGTAAGCCAGCTCACACCACTGCACTCCAGCCTGGGCAACAGAAAAACAAGCTGATAGCAGGGATTTTGTTAGCAACTAATGGTAAGGTGTATCGCCCTAGGGTCAATCCACAATCAAGAAAACTATTGTGCCAAATGAACATAACAAGAGTCTCAAAGACAGATGCAATTCAAGTCGCTATGCTACAGATACAAAGGTAGCAAAGTAGCCACACAGTTTGGGAGGATTTCCAACAAAAACAGGTTTCTAATCAGCCAAAAAACACAACTGACTACAACCCCACATAGTGGAAGTTTCCAGTTTAAAAAACTTGTTATTAGTTCATGAAGTCAACTAAGACAAGAGAAGAAAATAAAACATCAGTACATGTTGCCACCAGATTTTAATTCCATCTTGATAATACAGCCCAAAAAAAGCACAGAGAAAAGATGCCAGGTTCCAAGAAACATGGAGAATGCTAAGAGTGCTTCCCTTTGGGGACACTAAGGTCAAAAGTGACCCTCACAATTCATGAGCCAAGAGAACTTAAGTTCATGTGTGTTTGCTTTTTTCAAAACTCATTTGCAAAATGAAGATATAAAATAGGCTGGGGACACTGGCTCAGGCCTGTAATCCTAGCACTTTGGGAGGCCGAGGCAGGCAGATCACCTGAGGTTGGGAGTTTGAGACCAGCCTGACCAACATGGAGAAACCCCGTCTCTACTAAAAATACAAAATTAGCAGGGCGTGGTGGCGCATGCCTGTAATCCTAGCTGCTCAGGAGGCTGAGGCAGGAGAATCACTTGAACCCAGGAGGCGGGGGTTGTGGTGAGCCGAGATTGTGCCATGGCACTCCAGCCTGGGCAACAAGAGCAAAACTCCGTCTCAAAAAAAAGACATAAAATAACAATGCCTTATATATCTGTATGGTTTTATAGTTTATGAAATGCTTTCACACATATTTCGCTATCTCGAAAGGTCTTTGTAGTAACAACTCTGTAAACCAGGTAAGGTATATATTATTACCACCAATTTACAGATGAGGAAACAAGCTCCCTGGATGTAAGGGGCTTCTCCATAGTCATCCAGTCCTGTGGCCTTTCCACGACTAACACCATCGTTATTCCTGCTCAGAGGCGCAGGCTGGGATCACCTGAGGTGACTACCCTAGTGTAAAACTGACTCAGCTTGTGGCCACCAGAGGAGGCAGCCCAGAAGCTCACTGCCCAGCTCCCGCTGGGAAATCAAGGAAGATCAGGAAGGTTTTTTTTCCCTCTATGAGATCAAGCCCCCTCCCCTCAGGCCCCTGCAATCCAGGAAGTCCCCAGATCCAAACACGGAACACCATGGGCTTTTGTGCTTCCAGATTCCAAGAGGGACTTGGATCCCAAGGAGGCTGGGGGCATGGGAGGGAAAGAACAAAGGGAAAAATCTAGGCTGACCAGAACTTTTCATCTGGGCTCATTAGTGGTTTTCAGTCAAGGCCAAGGGGCTCCCCTGGACTCACTCCAGAAGGGGCGGTTTTCCAGGAAAAAACCTTTTTGCTGGCTCCCTTTCGCCAGGAGGGACACAAGTCCCAGGAACAGAGCTTGGCAGCATCACCAGCTTCCCCGGCCGGTGGCTCTGTTGACATTTCCCAACACAGGCAAACCCCACAGACCCTTGTGGGGGCCAGGGGGCACATCCACTCTGCAAGGACCACCCTGAGAGCAGGCCGGGCTCAGAATGAGTCAGAGCAAACAAGACAGGAACGGTGGCTGTGAACTGCCTGGCCGCCCCTCGTCTTTGCTGCGGGTCTGAGGTCTAGGGTCTATACCAGGAGCAGCCTCCAGGGCACCACCAGCTTATTTTCAGCTGTCTGCACTTCACCCTGGCCAGTCCATTCAAGCAAATCCAAGGTTTCTCCCTGCCAGGTAAATCCTAGTTGTTCTTTCTC
Organism: Homo sapiens; assembly: GCF_000001405.40. Classification (NCBI taxonomy): domain Eukaryota; kingdom Metazoa; phylum Chordata; class Mammalia; order Primates; family Hominidae; genus Homo; species Homo sapiens. The sequence goes on from NC_000022.11 coordinate 36,351,587, forward strand.
CCTACCATGTGTCTAACCACTAACTAGTCAACAGGCACCCCTAGGGTCCCAGCACCCAGGCTCCCCAAAGTCTCCCCATCGCGCCCCTGCCCTGCTCAAGACCTTGCAGCAATCACAGAACACAGGTCTCAGGCTGCGGGTTCTCAGCCTTTTCATAGACCTCAAACCCACAAAGGATAACTCCATGAATAGCAGAGAGACTCACTTGAACCCCATGCCCCCAAACCCTAAGTGTGTTGCTGACCCCGCCAATGAACGCATCTGAGGACATCGGTGCCCCTCACGAGACTCCTACCGAGAGCAGAAGGGGCAGGGGATGGTTACTAAGTACCTCCCAGCACCACGCTCAGTTTATTCACCACCTCACCTAACTGGCAACCATCCTGGGAAAGAGCTGTCTCATCATCCCCAATTCATAAACTAGGAAACAGACTCAGAAAGGGCAAGTCACTTGCCCAGAGTTGCCCAACCCAGGCATGGAGTGGGACGCTAACCCAGGGACGCCTGGCTCCTGTGCCTGGCCTCCTCCCAGAACAATTGTGCCTGGGGTCCCTCGGAAGCCAGGCCGGCACTGGAGCTGGGCCCTAACTGTCCCCACGAGCTGAGTGTGATGTGGGGAGTGGAGAGGAATGCATTCCAGAGCGTTCAACAAATATTTGCCGGATGTTATCAGGTAGGCAGGAAGGCTGAGTGAGCCTTCCCAGTGTGGACCACATGGCCCGTCAAAAAGCAGGCACGTTAGAACTCAAGATTTACTCCCTCGGCCCGCTACTGTCGGCGCAAGCTTGCAGCCCATCAGCAGTGGCAGAATGAGCTCTGACCGTCCTCAAACGCTGCTTCGCCCCAGCAATGCCAACCCTAACAGCAAAGAACCCATCTGGTAGCCTGGCTTCTCGGCAGCCCATGGGCACCCTCAGGCTGCAGGGCCCAGGCACTCAGACTGCCCTGGAAATCCGCTCTGGAGGGTCACAAACATCACACCAGCTGGCGGGGAGGAATTCCACCCAACCAACTGCCCTCAGAACCTCACCCTGTCCGACTTTCAGGCTTTGGTGGGAGGGCAGGGGACAGTCACAGGCCAGTGGTGTCCACTTGAAGACTAGCAGAGGCCTGGCCACCAAGCCACAGTTCTTGCAAGAGGAAGAGAGAATGCATCCCACCAGGGACACCCCCCGCCTCCAAGGACCAAGGCTCCAGCTGAAGGTCAGAGCCCCAGCTTGCTGGGCACCTCCCTCCCAGAACTTTTCATTAAGCAAGGCTGGGCTCTGCTCAGCCTGGCCAAGGACAGGGCTATTTGGTTTCAGCAACTCTGCTAGAATGACGTGGGTGAGCAGCGGCGCCAAGATCAATACACGGGTTAGACCGGCAGGGAGAGCCGCAAAGGTCAGGATAAACAGTGGAGTTTCTATGAAAGCCCCCTCGGCCACCTGGGCAGGATCAGCCACATTCAATGATGGGGAGCCACAGGGCTGCAGCAGAGCTGCTGTTTCCACTCGTATCCTGTGCCTCTGGGGGCGTGTGTGTGTGTGTGTGTGTGTGTGTGTGTATAAGTGTGTTCAGTCAGGTTAATACTCAGACCTCTCCAGGATGCATGTGGGTTAAACCACCTTATCTATAATCCATATGCCTCATTTATGAATGGGGGATAGTAAAGAGCTGCTAAAAATTCAATAAGGGGCACGACAGCGGGATACCCGGGAGGTAGTCTATCAAACACAGCAGCCAGCGTGCAGCCACTCCTTCCTACTCTGTCCTGGGGCTGTTAAACAGCCTCTTTGAAACTTTTTTTTTTGAGACAGAGACTCACTCTGTTGCCCAGGCTGGAGTGCAATGGCAAGATCTCAGCTCGCTGCAACCTCCACCTCCCAGATTCAAGCAATTCTCCTGTCTCAGGCTTCCGAGTAGCTGGGACTACAGGCGCCCACCACCACAGCCGGCTAATTTTTGTATTTTTAGTAGAGATGGGGTTTTAGGTCAGGCTGGTCTTGAACTCTTGACCTCAGGTGATCTGCCCGCCTTGGACTCCCAGAGTGCTGGGATTACAGGCATGAGCCACTGTGCCCAGGTGAAACTTTTTAAAACTGCCCATAATAAAAAAGTTTTTGAAAATAAAAGAAAAATAATCCCCTAAATTCCTGAACTCCCCCCACCGCCTCTCCCCGCCTTGCAAAATCAGTTTTCTCTTTCTTTTCGTGGTCCTTTCTGGACCTGGCTCATGGAAACACTTGATTTTTAACTATCAGGCAGAGGACAGAGTTTCAGATTTTGTATTTTCCTTACTTACTGTGACTATTTTCCTGTAGGGCTAGGATTTGCTTGGTTTTTGTTTTTTGAGATGAAGTCTTGCTCTGTCACCCAGGCTAGAGTGCAATGGCACGATCTCGGCTCACTGCAACCTCCATCTCCTGGGTTCAAGCGATTCTCCCACCTCAGCCTCCCGAGTAGCTGGCACTACAGGCGTGTGCCACCACGCCTGGCTAATTTTTTGTATTTTTAGTAGAGACGGGGTTTCACCATGTTGGCCTGGCTGGTCTCAAACTCCTGACCTCATGTGATCTGCCTGCCTTGGCCTCCCAAAGTGCTGGGATTACAGGTGTGAGCCACCACACCCAGCCTCAGATTTGCTTGTTAATCAATTTTATCCAACCCATTTTACAGATGATGCAGTGGTGGCCCTGAGAGAAAGTAACTCTACTCGGTCACACAAGCTGGGGAATGAGGACCTGAACCCAGAACTCCTGACACCAAGGCCTCACTGTCCAACATTTAATGGCTGCAGCATATTCTCAATATTCTCAAGTGTTTTTTTCTTTTTTAAGGACCACTTATAAGGTTTTTTTACCCTCTTATCTAGTATACCATCTTTATTTTTTTTTGAGATGGAGTCCCGCTCTATCACCCAGGCTGGAGTGCAGTGGCGTGATCTCAGCTCACTGCAACCTCCGCTTCCCAGGTTCAAGCGATTCTCCGCTGCAGCCTCCCGAGTAGCTGGGATTACAGGCATCCGCCACCACGCCCAGCTAATTTTTGTAGTTTTAGTAGAAATGGGGTTTCACCATGTTGGCCAGGCTGGTCTCAAACTCCTGACCTCAGGTGATCTGCCTGCCTCGGCCTCCCAAAGTGCTGGGCTTACAGGCGTGAGCCACCGCACCCGGCCGTAGTGTACCACCACCTTGAGATACATTCCCAGGAGTGGAGTTACGGGAGAAAAGAACATACAAACACTTCTACAGTCCTGGGATGTCCCATCCAATTGTTTTCCAAAAGGGCTGAATCGACATGCACTGCCATTTGAGCAGGATGTACATGTGAAAGCAACCAACCAGCATCATCATCTACCACTTAAAAAAACAAAAAAACAAAAAACAAAACACACACACACACACACACACACACACACACACACACACACACAGAGGAAAGATCTCCGTGGCTCAGAAAGTCCCGAGCTCCTGTGGGAATGGGCAGGCCAGCAAGAGGTTCAGAAGGAAGCAAGCAGCTCTCGCCCCTGGAGATGAGATTGGATCAGGCTGAGGCCATCCCCCAGCGCTTTCCTTCCCGCCGGCTTCCTGCGGGTGCCAGTCCAACTCCAAGAAACCCAAGCAGTTGCCTTTTTAGGCCATAATCGAGCGGGACACAACCAGAGGCTAAATTAGGACTCTCAGGAAATGATGAAACTGAAAGTAAATAGGTTGACCAAAAACATCTTCTTTCAACCCAAAATGTAATGCCTCAATTATTTGCCTTCTCCCCTTCCCCACAAACATCATATGGATCTTTTATTTCTCCCTGTTTTCCCAGAGAATACTCTCCCTCCCTCCCTCCGTTTCTCTTTTTACTTATTTGTGGGTTTGTCTGGAAAATGAACAGCTAGCACCTTAAAGACAGAATGTATTCTACTCTCAGATCTTTGGTTGAAACGTTGAGAGCATTTCCACTCCCAGACAACGAGGGCTGATGTAAACCTTTCTGTGGGCCAAGTTCTAGGCTGGGAGTGTCCAAGTCATCACCTTCACCGTAAAGCTGCATAGACCAAGGACCTGCTAGGAAGCGCTGCATGTTCTCACTCAATCCTTGCAATAATTTCATGAGGCACATACATACTCATTTTACAGGTGGGGGAAATGGGGCTCAGACAAGGCACAAAACCTAGGGTCAGACTCAGCCCCGTGTGGCTTCAATGCCCTGCTCCGTTTCCCCCTTAGCTGCCTTACTGGTGAGGTCAAGGGGGCTACAAGAAGCAAACAAACAGAGAACCCCCCCTTTATTAATTAAGCAGACATTGATAATGCCACCTCAAAGCTGTAAACCCCATCTCCCCATGCTGGCTTGCACAAGGGACTCCATCCTTCCGACCTAAATTGCTGGGTGCTAAAAGTAAGAAAGAAGGTGGGAGTGTGACCTTGGGTGAGCCATTTGAGTTCTCTGTGCCCAGTCTGCCAGGAGTTGACCTAACCAATCTCCAATGGCCTTGGGCACGCCAAGGCTTCAGTTCAGACACCCCAGCGGCCTCAGCCCAGACACTGGAAGCCCTATTCCAGCCTCACCACTGATGTATGCAAGCAGCCCCTCTGTTTGTTTTTTTCCATCCCCACCCCCATCCTGGAGAACACAGGTGAACATGTCCTTTCTCTTTCTACTTGCGGCCGTTGGTTTTGAGTTAAATAAAACTATCGAAGTAGCTGGCTTCCATTGTTAAGAAAGATTCTTTGGGCCAGGCGTGGTGGCTCATGCCTGTAATCCCTGCACTTTGGGAGGCTGAGGCGAGTGGATCACCTGAGGTCAGGAGTTTGAGACCAGCCTGGCCAAAACCGTGAAACCCTGTCTCTACTAAAAATACAAAACTTAGCCAGGCGTGGTGGCGCGTGCCTGTAATCCTAGCTACTAGGGAGGCTGAGGCACGAGAATCGCTTGAACCCAGGAGGCAGAGGTTGCAGTGAGCTGAGATGGTGCCACTGCACTCCAGCCTGGGCAACAGAGTGAGACTCCATCTCAAAAAAAAAAAAAAAAAAAAAAAAAAAGATTCTTTGAAAGCAGCTGCTATAATAATGTAGAATTTTTCAAGCTCATTTGATTCACTTATTCAATCAACTAATACATAGAGAATCCACATGCAAAAAAATCATGACAAAGGCATAAAGATCCCAGGGGGTTTCTAATGAGGTCGCGCGGCAGGACGGACATGAACCTAGGTGACTAGGTGGAGTGTCCACCTGGGCAATGTGGTAGAGTAGACAGAAAGCAAGCTCCTGGGCTTCCTTCTGTCCTGTTCACTGCTGAATCCAACACCCAAACGCAGTAAGCACCCGCTAGACAGATCTGCCATGTGGATGAATGCAGAAACTCCTTGCTGTGTGGCCTTCGGCCGGTGCCACCTCTCTGGCCTCAACTGTAAATGCAGATAATATTTTATGCTGCCTTCCCTGCCTTGCAGGGCTGCTTAATGCAGCATGTATTCCTTAAATACACATAATGATGAGACAGGACACCTACCATAGTGGAACATTCATGCAGAGAGGAAGAACCACGTCAACAACCGGCTCCACCACTGACTCAGCGAAGAAGAGGAGAGGAACATGCAACTTGCCGTGGGAACAAAGAGAAAGGGACACTTCCTTGGACACTCAAGCGAAGAGTGTCATGGAGGATATGACATTTAAACTGGGTCCTGGAAGATGGGTAGAATATTGGCAGGGAAGGGAAGAGATGGTGGAAAGGTATCCCGGGCCGAGGGAGAAAAGCAAGAGCCAACGTACAGGAAGAAGGTACGATCGCTCAATAACCACATACAAAACGATGCCACGGCACTATGGCTATCTGGGGCCAGAGAATCCTTTGTGGTGGGGCTGTCCTGTGCCACGTGGGGTATTTAGCAGCAGAGCAGCACCCCTGGCCTCTACCCACTAGATGCCAGTCGCACCCTGTCCCCAGTTGTGACAACCAAATACCTCTCCAGACATCACCAAAGGTGGAAATTGGGGGTTGCGGGGGAAGACAAATCACACCCGGTTGAGCCCACTGATTGAAGGGGTTCGTGTGAACAAACGCAGCACTATGAAGCCAGACCTCTCAGTCGTCATCCTCCCCCATCTCTGAAGTGCACGGGCCAAATCTCCTTAACAAAACAGAAATCCTCAGGGCAAAAGGATTCCCAGGACCCCATAAAAATGGCCATTATGGATGGCATTGTCACCAAGGAATGACAGCTCCTTGTAACATACTGTATTCTAAGAGATCTGACCTAGATTCTCCTGCTGGACTGTGCTTTAAAGATCCTGAATACCCAATTTAAAAGTAAACCAATCAACCAGGCAGAAGAGACTGATGTGCCTCCCCAGGCAGGCAAGAAGCACCTTCAGAACCTCCAACACGGCAGCTCAGCCTGCGACTCATAAGCAAAGTCACCAGCATCAAAGGGTCCAGATGATTAACGGAAGACAAGCGGGAGCCACATTTTGGAGGCTGGGGGTGGGAGCTGTTGACACAGCTGTGCCAGCTCACCCCACCCTGGGAATCCCATCAGGCTGGAATGCAGTGGCGTGATCTTGGCTCACTGCAACCTCCACCTCCCCGGTTCAAGCAATTCTCCTGCCTCAGCCTCCCGAGTAGCTGGGACTACAGGTGCACACCGCCACACCCGGCTAATTTTTTGTATTTTAGTAGAGATGGGGTTTCGCCATATTGGCCAGGCTGGTCTCGAACTCCTGAGCTCAGGCAATCCGCCCGCCTTGGCCTCCCAAAGTGCTGGGATTATAGGTGTCAGCCACCGCACCAGGCCCAAACGCTATTTATTGAATAGTTTTGGCAAATCAATCTGGATTAGACCCAGGAAATCCATGGCTTCCACCACTGGGACAGCCGGATTATTTCCCGCCCAGAGCTCTCCCCCACACCCCTTCATATATTAATAAATATATTTAAACACCTACCAACGAGCCATCTCCACCTGGTGGATGCACCATCACACCTGAACTCCCCCACCATCTCTCCCCAGACCCATACCCTCTTCTGGGTGTCCATCTCTGGGAGACACCATCCATCTGGCCACCCAAGACAGTCACCGTAAACTCCTCCCCAGCCCTCCGCCAACACCACTGCCCGTGCCCTGTTCCAGTCCAGGCCCACAGGCCCTCCCTTCTGGACTGCTCCAACTGCCTCCCTCCTGGCCTCCCCTGCCACTTCTACAGAACTCCTTTCTGATGACTCACAAATTCAAATTCCTATTTATATGACTTCCTATTTCATTGATATTATTTGATCAGTTCAAAATGGTTCGACAGCTCCACACCTTCACCAGAATAAAATCTGCATGCTAAGCAAGCCCTCTAGGACCCCACCCATTCATCTTGCCCCTGCCCTTCCTTTTGCCACAGTCATTCCCAGCGGTATATAATCAATTCCCCAGTCACACTACACTCTGCTCAGGCCTCCAGGCCTTCAAAGAAGGCAGAGAAGTGTCCTTTGTATTAGGAACCCTCTCTGAGATCAAAGCTCAAACGCTCCCTTCTCTAAAGACTTTTTGCAGCAAAAAGATGTCTCATATCTATGGCCCTCCCGTCTGTGCTCTGTACTTGTTCCACTGTAACCAAACAGCTAAATACTCATTATTTGTAGTTTTATTTGAGGACAGGAATTGGGTCTCATTCATCAATTCCAAATGTCTGGCACAATGCCTGGCCCAGAGCAGGTGCTCAGTTAAAGTGTCCTGAATGAATAAATGAGAAACAAGGCCAAAATGAGGAAGAAAGACTTAATGGGGAAGGTCCCCAGAGGCTGGAAAATCCCCTTGGGCTGTGGCTGTGCAAAGAGGGACAGGGCTGGAGAGCTGAAGGTAACAGGAGAGCCAAGTTGAAACCACACACGCGTAAGGGTTATAGCCACCTAATTTGTTACAAACACCAAACCATTTATGGACTAATTTTTATATCCTCAAAACAAAAAGGGAAAGAATGCATACTGGGGCTTTCAATCTACAAAGAGAAATAGGACTGAGGATAATTTACTGGTTTTACATATAGTTCAACCATCTCTGTTTTCTAGAACCTTCTAGCACCCCCTGATTAACCAGTGTAGAGGCACCTACCACCTACTACCAGTCCGACATACCAGAAAGAATCTTGGCTGGCATGGCCTCTGCTCTTGCTAGGATGCCATGAGAAGGTCGTGTGCCCTCCTGGAATGCTACGCCTCCATCTATCAAGTAGGTGCTGGCAACATCAACCTTTGGTATCAACTCAGAAGTGACAGACAGAAGTGGAAAAACCACAGCCATGTGAGGTCCTGGTTCTGCAAACCCTAAGATAAATGCTTGTAATGTACCACAATGGAGTTTATGGCTTTGGGGCCAGACAGACCTGGATTGGAGTCCCAGGTCCCCTGCTCACAATTCCTGTGACCTTGAAGCTGTTAGCACCCCAATTTCCTAGCTTTAGAATGAGGACAAACACCACCACCACCACCACCACCACCACCACCACCACCACCACCACCTAACATCAGAAGAGTTGTAGCTCAAGCTCCCAGTGGAGAATGGCATGATAGGAATTTCCCTCCCAACTCCTCTATCTTGTGATTCTGAGCTATTTAATCCCCATTCTTCCTAGGAATGACACCTGGGCCCTCTGAAAATCAGTTACCAGGAGTCTAGTGACTCTTTCTGCAGGTTATATCCATCCATAGAGGACAGTTCTCAGGGACAGTGACTATAAAGACAGCAATTTGCAGAGGGAAGAGGGTTTCGTGGCCGAGTAAGGATGGAATGCCGTCTCCCTATGGCCCTCTTGCAATCACAATATGCACAAAATGTTGTAGGAAGCAGCCTGCAAAAAGAAATCTGCTTAACTTAGGCCGGGCACAGTGGCTCACACCTGTAATCCCAGCACTTTGAGAGGCCGAGGCGGGCGGATCACGAGGTCAGGAGATCGAGACCATCCTGGCTAACACGGTGAAACCCCGTCTCTACTAAAAATACAAAAAATTAGCCGGGCATGGTGGCGGGCACCTGTAGTCCCAGCTACTCTGGAGGCTGAGGCAGGAGAATGGCGTGAACCTGGGAGGGGGAGCTTGCAGTGAGCCGAGATCGCACCACTGCACTCTAGCCTGGGCAACAGTGTGAGACTCCATCTCAAAAAAAAAAAAAAGAAAGAAAAAGAAAAAAGAAATCTGCTTAACTCCATCCCAGGAATATCCTGCAGGAAAAACCTCTCTCCATGCTGGTCTGGGAAATGCTGGTCTGGTGAGATGGGCACAAAGCCTGTGGCAGAAGAGCTGGATTTGAGTCCAGCGAGGTGCTGACCAGCTGTGCAATCCTGCAGGCACCACCCAGGCCTCGGCTTTCCCACCTGCAAAATGTCCTATCTGCTCACAGGTATGCACAAGGCCACTCTCTGCAATACACACCAGGGCTGTCAGAGCAGTTATCTACAGGGTGGGTCAATAAAGTGGCTCCTCTGTCACCCAGGGCTAATAACCTACAGCAGCCTCGACCTAGGCCCTCACTCTCCCCAGGCTAACAAGGAGTGGGGGGCTCCTCCCAGCTGCCAGTGCCCAGGAGGTAGGAGCTGAAGACTGCGGGTGGGCCCCCCTTCCCTTTCCACCTCAGGAATGTTGTTTGCTTACAGAAGAAGCTGGAACTTGTTTCCATTAGCAGTATTCCAACCCAAGCCTGTGTTGATGCTTAGCAGATAAGAAAACCAGAGAGGAACTTAGTGCCCGGGCCCCAGAGCCTGCCCCATCTGCAGGTTCTGCCTTTGCCTCCTTGAAGCGGGCATGGAGGGGGGCTCAGGTGACTGCTGAAAGTCCAGGAAACAATGAAAGATGATGGCATTTGCCTGTCCAAGGGAGGGCCTGTGGTCACTTTCACTTTGCCTGGCACCGAAGGAAACTCAGGCTATCAAAAACAACACCAGTACGTATTTCAAATCATGTTGTACACAATGGATATAAACAATTTTTGTCAACTTAAAAATTAAATGAACAATTTCTTTTAAAAAAAAAATGACACCAGAAACCAGAATGTGGTACATAGAGTCCCTCCTCCTGCATGGGAAGGGGTGGGGGCAATAGCTTGGGACAGGCTGGAGGAGATAAACTGGGGCAGCTAACCCAGGATCTTATCAGCCATTTAGGAATGTGGACTTTATTCTAGGGATAATTGGGGAGGAGCAGAGGTGACATCAGATTTGTATTTTAAAGTAATTGGCTGGGGGTGTACGGTGGCTCACGCCTGTAATCCCAACACTTTGGGAGGACAAGGCAGGTAGATCACGAGGTCAGGAGTTCAAGACCAGCCTGGCCAACATGGTGAAACCCCATCTCTACTAAAAATACAAAAATTAGCCAGGCGTGATGGTGTGCGCCTGTAATCCCAGCTACCCGGGAGGCTGAGGCCAAGAATTGCTTGAACCCAGGAGGCAGAGGTTGCAGTGAGCCGAAATTGCGCCACTGTACTCCAGCCTGGGGGACAGAGCGAGACTCTGCCTCAAAAATAAAAAAAACAGAAATCATCCTCCCTTACCTGCATGGAGGGGGCAATGAGAAGTCAGTGGTTGGAAAATACTGGGGACTTGCAAGGAGGGAGCTTCCAATCTAAGAGAAGAAAAGACAGTTCCCTGACCAGGCTAGGTGGAGAGTGATTAAATGACACGAGAGGGACAAGTGCAGCCATAGACTTTACCCTCTGATCTCCTACTCCATAGAGCCTGGCTCGAGGAGAGTCCTGGAATCACCGTCCTACGACAGTGAGAAGTGACCAAGCAATCCCAGGAGCTCCAGGGCCAGTGTTTCCAGAGCATCTTAGGCACAGATCTCATGTGGCATGTGTCACACAGACTACACAATAAAGTGTCCAATGGGGTGTCCTCCACTAAGATACCAACTTCAGGACCACAGAGACATGGCTTTAGATCCTCAGCACAGAAACCATTTCTGAGTCGCTCTGTTGCCCGGGCTGGAGTGCAGTGGCACAATCTTGGCTCACTGCAACCTCTGCCTCCTGGATTCAAGTGATTATCCCGCCTCAGCTGGGACTACAGGTGCATGCCAGCACGCTCGGCTAATTTTTGTATTTTAGTAGAGATGGGGTTTCACCATGTTGGCCAGGATCGTCTTGAACTCCTGACCTCAAGTGATCCACCTGCCTCAGCCTTCCAAAGCGCTGGGATTACAGGCATGAGCCACTACACCCGGCCTGAAACCATTTCTTAATGAATAAATCAAACAACCAATGAGCCAGGGCAGAAAGCAGCAAAAGTTTGAGGCCAGCCCTGCCATCACCCCAGAATGATAGCCCGCCCAGCATGGATAGAAGTGTGCCCCCTACAGCCTTTATAACCCCACCCCAATGCCTTCCACCAGTGCCTCTCAACCATCTTTCCAGCCACACCTCTCTTATCCCCTGCTACAACCCTCCATTCCAGTCACTAGAGCACACTCCCCAGAGCAGCCTTTGCTTCAGCTGTCACCCAGAGACAAGCTGGAGGGCCCATCTCCCCAATTCTCCACAGACTGAGAGTCCCCAAAACCAAGTGGACATGCCATCGCCCCCAGGCAGCCTCTCCTAGTATGAATTACTCATAGTATGAATTACCCTAGTATGAATTACTCACCCTTCTCCCTCCTCCCCAACAGGCCCAGCGCAATCTGCCTTATACAGAACCATGGCTTCATTGCCTGTGTCCTCTGCTGTCTCTTAGAACTCTCTAGAGGCAGGAACTGTCTCCCCAACCCTCTTGCTCTTGCCCAGGGTGCTGCAGAGAGAGCATCAATGCTTGTTGAAAATAACTGAATTGTTGAAAATGCTTGCAAGTATTTTCTGGGAACCTGGCAGTCCAAGAGAATGACCACTCCAAGGGTAGCTGGAGGGAGAGACAGAGGGAGGCAGGAAGGAGGGAAGGAAGGAAGGAGAGGAGGAAACAATAGGTTAAGCAGCTTTTGCCCCATGTTAAGAGGCCAGGCAGACAGACCTAGGGCTGGATCTGCAGATAAGTCATCTACACTGGACCCTTGGCTTTGCTTTTAATTGGTTCAATATTTGCACAGTGACATCACACCTGCGCCTTACCTACTCAATAACAAGCTTTCTCTCAGTCACCCAGAAGAAACTGCAAAGAAAAGCAAATTGTTTCAGGTATGGTGGGGACGTCCCCTCCTAAATAGTGAGGGGCAGATGATCCCCTTTGACTCACCCCCAGGTTGGAAGCGGCTGACAGGGGAAGGGTTTGGTTGGGTTCACCAAGCGCACCAAGCATGTCCCCCTGCAGATGGTATCTCCCCAGCTGGCTGGAGGCTTCCCACACCCCCAGGAGGGGGAACTTGAACCCTTCAGATTCCTGCAGCAAAGTTATTCCTTCCCTTAGCTTCTGCTGATAGAATGGTTTTTCTTTCCTCAAGCATGTGAGCACAGTTTGCTGAAACCCAATGCAGAAAAATAACCATACTCAGAAGATGTAATTATACGGCCACCGTCTCAGTGGGAAAGTGCAGCATGAGGGCTTTCTGAGTCCACATCACGACTGCTGAGAAGTGCAACCAGAGACCAGAAACAGAAGATCACTTTTGAAGGTTGCTCAGCCTAGAACCCTTCAAGCCTTCAGCAGCTTGTTATCCTCTGAGTGATTATTTAAATCACACAAAAAAAGCGAATGAATGAGAAGCCACTTTCCCCCAGTAGCCATCTCACCTCTAGTCCTGCAGGGCTGAGGGCTCCAAGGCAGAGATCGGGTCACCACTGCATCCCCAGTGCCCCACATATGGGAGGTGCTGAACTAAAGTCATGGGAGAGGCTCCCATCTTCCCAAAGGTCCAGACTCCAGGGACCAACTCCAGTCAAATCTGCGTCACCCACTCTTAAGTGCCTGATGTTAAGCCCAATCATCTTCTATCTTATTGTCCAAATAAGTCCACATGACTATGGTGTGGCTCATGTCTCCCCTTAGCAGGACAGACAGCAAGGGCCACCCACAATGGGCCATAGCTTCTCTGTGGCCATCCAGGGTCCTCACCCTCCGCCCCACCCCCTGCCTCACTGATAACTATATCTGCCGTACACTAATTTTTATTTTGTTTCCAAGAGGCACATCACTGGCCAGGGGTCAGCAACAATCTCCCTGCATTGATCAAGCGGTCATTACAGTGGACTCTGATCATGGGCTTCAAAAGGAGAGGGACCTGCTCATGGTGATTTTTCACTTACAGCCTTCACAGAAGGCATCTGAGGACGAGCCGCAGCCAGGAGGTAGACAGGCTGCCTGTGGAATGCCAGAGCCACCACTTAACTAACAGCAAACTTTGCAGCTTGACTTGGGCCCCAAGCCTCAGTTTCTCCACCTGTAAAATGGAGCTGATCCCAGCTACCCCCATGGACAGCTACAAGGAGCCCCAGTGGGTCTAGCTGACAGCCCCCACCCCCACCCCCACCAGCCCCTACTTCTGCATTGGATCGGAGTATCGTCTAACTCACAGTGCCACTGTGATGACAAAATAAGCTCCCAGAGCTGGGCTCGGGGCAGCCCCGAACACCAGCCCCTCCCCCATGATCTTTGCCTCCTCTCAAGACAGCCTGTGTCACCACTGAGCTCATAATGAGTCAGTCACAGACGCTGCCCTCACACAGCCCACTTCGAGGGTTTGAAGTCACATCCTGCCTAACCCAACTCGACATGATTTATTCCACCCCAGGAAGGTAGCTCATTTCCCAGAATTTTGTTAAGCCCTTTAGTAAAGGAGTCTGATCTGGCAAGGGGCTCCCTTTACAGCCCTGGCTGAACATGCAGCTCAGCTCGGGCCTGGAGGCAGGAACCACCCTAAGTCAGGGCTGCCAGAGGCGCCAGGGCATCTCATCCTTGGGGCCCCAACATTTATCTTAAGCTGTAATTTTTATTTTTTTATTTTATTTTTTTTTGAGACAGAGTCTCACCGTCGCCCAGGCTGGAGTGCAGTGGCACAATCTTGGCTCGCTGCAACCTCCTGGGTTCAAGCAATTCTCCTGCCTCAGCCTCCCAAGTAGCTGGCATTACAGGCATGCACCACCGTACCCAGCTAAATTTTGTATTTTTAGCAGAGACGGAGTTTCACCATGTTGACCAGGCTAGTCTCAAACCCCTGACCTCAAGTGATTTGCCCACCTCAGCCTTCCAAAGTGCTGGGATTACAGGCATGAGCCACCGCACCCGGCCTTTTTTTAAATTTTAATTTAAAAACTTTTTGTCATAAATACAAACATGTCTAACAAAACTGTCACAATGTGACATACACATGCTATTCACTCTGATTCTTTTCCATTCAAGTCTATTTTATTTCATTTCTAAACACACTGGTTGCCCGCCAGGCATGGTGGCTCACGCCTATAATCCAGGCGCTTTGGGAGGCTGAGGCGGACAGATCACCTGAGGTCAGGAGTTCAAGACAGCCTGGCCAACATGGCAAAACCCCGTTTCTACTAAAAATACAAAAATTAGCCAGGCACGGTGGTGGGCACCTGCAATCCCAGCTATTCGGGAGGCTGAGGCAAAAGAATCACTTGAACCTGGGAGGCAGAATTTGCAGTGAGCCAAGATCCTGCCACTGCACTCCAGCCTGGGTGACAGAGCGAGACTCCATCTCAAAAATAAATAAATAAATAAACAAACAAACTGGTTGCCACTCACTTCACGACCCACCGATGAATCTCACTTGAAAGTTCTTGAAAAACACCACCGTGACTTATCTACGCTAGGAAGGAGAGGAACGATCTGCCTAAGATCACATAGCCAGGCCAAGCAGAAACTCAAGTCCAAAGCCAAAGGGAAACTCAGTGAGAGGTGGGGGGTCGGGGGGAGTGTCCCACTCCAGGCAAGTGAGACTCAGCTGTAGCAACCCAATCACCTGACACATTCATCTCGTGGTGTTTACATCATCTGATCCCGCCAGCCTTGGCAAAGTGAAGGGTCACGCGGCCCCTCCCCCTAAAAAAGGAGAGAGCCTCAGAGGCTCAGGGAGGCTAAGTGACTTGCCTAGGTACAGGGTTTCCCGGGAACATCCCTGCCGATGTGCAGGGGCAAGAGCACAAGAACGAAAGAGGAGCCCACCTTCCTCAGCATCCAAGGTAACAAGAGATCAAGTCTGGCATCAGAAACATCACCCCTCCCATCTCCAGGCCCAGCCCCACACTGAAGAGATACCCAGAAGTGACGGTGTTCTAAAGGCTTAAATACAAGAAGGATCATCAGGGAGGGGAAGGCCACTGTGCTGGAGCTACAGTGATGAGCCCCAGGAAAGTGATCACCCCTGGGGTGGCACAACTTAGACTAGAACAAACCCCCATCCTGATCCTAACGGCCCCCAGGCTGCATCCGTTATGCGACACTCACGTGTGCACACTCTACAAATGGAAAACCCAAAGCTTCTATTTGTCTAGGTCAGTGGTCAAGGACCCCTTTGAGAACTTGTGAGAGGTGGTGAACGCCTTGCATACCACGTTAGGGGGCTCGCAGAGACTCTGCAGTGCGGTCCATGGACTTTTAGGAGTCCCCTGGTCACAAGCTCAAAGGTAATGGGGCACTAGTGCGGCCTCCTTTTCTACCAAGGCAACATGAACAAAGACTTGAGGCAGGATCTCTTCCTTCGTCACCCTCCGGAGGGTTAAGCAGGATCTCGCTGAGGAAGCAAAGCTGTGGACAGAATAACCCAATAGCAAGAGTCCACGTGGCACGGGAGGGAGGCCGATTCTCCTGCACTGCTCTGGGGTGCCCTGGACTCCAGGAACAAGAAGCCCAAAACTGAAGGGTGAACGGTCTCTCCTCCCGACATTTCCATCCCTTGCTCCGGTTCTCAAATGAGCAAGCACACAGCCAGCCCTGGACATATAGAAGGCATGGCAGGCAATGCCAAGCTTTCCAGAGAAGCATCCCAGAGCCTCCTGCATTCCCCGGGGGAAATGATCAAATACAAGTGAGGATGAAATCCACTTATTTTGCACTTTACAGAAAAATTAACTTACCGCTCCTAGACTGGGTTGCGGCAGCACCCTTGTCTGAAAGGCTGGCCAACCCCAGTGTCCTTGAGCAGGCAGCCTGGCCGGCAGGATGACCTTACCAAGTCCTTCCCCAGAAACGTGACTACCGCTTACTTTACCACTCACCAAGCAGCACTCCTTTGCCCAGGCCACAGTCTGGTTTGAAAGTGGCCAAAGCTGTGGCTGCACATGAAAGAAGGAAGCAGCAGCGGCCCCTGCTCTAGAGAGCTGCCAGATTTGGGCCAATGCCATCCTGCCCTGGACAGAGCCCCAGGCCCCCTCCTCCCCTCCCCAGTCCAAGATGGGTGCATACAGACTTGCACACACACAGATATGCATGCACACAGACACGTGCAAAGATCTGTGCACACAGAGGTGCAGAGACATGCACACAGAGACCTGTGCAAACAGACATGCACATATACAAACACACACACACACATGCCTGCATACAGACACCCCAGAGGATGCTGGGATATGGCCGAAGTCAGGCCAACCTGGAGGTAAGCGCTGGATTCTCCTCACTGGTTCAGGAAATCCGGCAAATTATTTAAATGTCCTGAACCTCCCTTTCTTCATCTGTACAATGGGAATGAAAAGGCCCACCTCCCAGGACCCTGTTGGTAATTAAATAACGGCCACTTGCACTTTATTCTGAGTGCTTTTCACCAGGAATCTCACTTTAGCACACAGCACTCTTGTGAGGTAGATTCTAGTGGTATCCCGTTTTGCAGATGGGGAAACAAGGCCAGAAGGCTTACTTGCTGAAGGACACACAGGCACTAGCTGCCGGTGTCTGTACCCTGCAGGTCTCACTTGGGGCTCCAGGTCTTCCATCCCTAACCACTCTGCTCCACTGCCTCTAGGGGTGCAATGAGACAGCGAATGCACACAGAGCATCTGGCAAGGCGTCACATAGGACCTGGTCAACAGCAGTTGCTCCGTGATCAGGAAGGAGAAGCGCAGAGGTGGACCCGCAAGCTTTCCAGTAGCCCAGGGCCAAAGCACCAGTATCTGTCCTCCTGTCTGCTACCAATCCCCTCCAGCAGACTCACTTTTAACCCAATTTCTCTAAGATAACAGTGCTGGGAGGTGGAGGAGTGTTATCTCCCCACCCTTACCCCTCCCAGCTGTCTATATCGCCCTAAACAGCCAGGAATTTAATAAGCCTGGAGTTGTCTCTGACTCCCAACCACAACCAATTCGGAATGCCCCAGGTCCTGCAGCACAACAAAGGCTGCCCTGCAAAGCCCGGAAGAGCCTGCGAAGCCTGCCCCGTCCGCGATAGAGCATCACATTCTTCAGATTCTTGTGTAAAAGCCAGAAGTAAGGCAAGGGGGTGGGGGTGGGGGGGCTCTAATTTCAACCTAAGGGTCATTAAAGCCTGTGACCTGTATTAAAAGGGAAGAGACCCACCCCTCTGCAGCCCCTCTGTACCACGCTGGTCCTCCAAGGTGTATGATACTGCACAGGTCAGCACACCCAGGCCTCACAACCAGAAAGCGCCCTCAGCCTAGCGTCCCCACTTTGAGGACATCAAGCCTCCAGGACACACAGCTAGTCAATGGCAGGAGGGATTTTGCCAGACTGATCTTCAGCATCGTACTGGTGGCCACTATCTATTTCTTTCTGTCTAACATAGGTTTAAAGTTCTAGCCAGAGAGTCCACAGAACTAACCCCAGGTAGAGTTCAGGGGAAGACGTTGAGGTGCTGATGGAGACTCGTGAATTCCACAGTGCTCGGCAGCAAGTAATTAATCTCATGATGAGGCGTTTTTCATGAGCATTTGGCATTATATACCCACCTCCCCCTCGCCCTGGCAAAGGCAGGAAACAGTGGGCGGCAGGCCGGCTCTGGGCAGAAGGCGGGCTGAGAACAGCATGCTGGTGGGCTAGGAAGGTACGAGGGGGCGGTATCCATTCTTCAGAGGGAGGACAGCAAAAACCCAGGTTCCCCACAAGGACCAGGCTAACCAGACCTCACACCAGCCTGCCAGCCTTCACCTGCTGTCTACCCGACAGGTCTCTTAGGATGGAACAGGGAGGGCTGTAATTTACAGCTGGTGCCATAAAGCCAACTAGGTAACGCGACCCAGCAACCACCACTGTGAGGCTATGTGTGGAAGTCTACAAAAACCCAATTTCACAACTATTGTCCACATAGTGGTTGAAGTGGGATGAGAAGGCAGGAGAGGCGATGGAAGTAGATATGGAAAATAACTGGCCTGAAAATGAGGAGCTGGGAGAGGATTTTAGATCATTCACTTGCTACCTGGGGCTAGTCACGTAGGTTTTCTTGGACTCTCAACATTCCCAGCTACAAAATAGGAACACTAATACTGCCACCTTCATGGGATTGAGAGACTTTTGTTGCAATAACTTGAAAGTGACTTTAACCTTTGTAACGTGATATAAAAAATAGACTGAAATTTTTAAACAGATAAAAATATATCACCTGGCACTGTGCCAGATAAATTGTGGACAGATAAAACATATAAACAATAAAGCTATACTTTATTAGCATCAAAACCCTCTGTGGCATTTATTTTCCTCATTCCACAGATAAGGAAAACTGAGGCACAAAGAAAGATTGTATGACTCACTCAAGGTCAAAGGGCCTGCAGGTGGGAGAACCAAGATTAGGGCAGATGGTCTGAGTCCAGAGTGCCTGCCTATTTACCTAAGCACCAGACACACGCCCATCATGCTGGTGAGGCTCAGAAGCCAAAGAAATAAAGCCATCTACCCAGGACATCAGGGTCTGTGCCACCCACATTCTAGTATGAATATCCTCACCTGTTTCTCAAGCATGTATCAAGTGCTCACCATGGGCAAGGCACCATGCAAGGGTCCTGGCGACAAGGCCTCTAAAAGGGGAAGCAAGACCAGCACATAAGCCAGCACAGAGAATTGCTAAGACATGAAGCAGTCCGCTGGGAACAGTGGCATAAGCGAAGCATTTGGCAACGCACGCTCGAACCGCAGCCATCCAACACTCGGGCCAGTACCTGGGAGTTTAGGTTATAGTCCTGCACCAGCTTTCTACAACAGTTCCTCCTTACCGGTGTCAAAAGTGCTTATGACTTAACAGAGGGGAGGAGCCACCTCCAAGAACAATTGGCTCACAGGCACTGGGCAGAAGGCAGGGCAGCCTGGGAGCTGGGAGCAGCCAGGGCAGCCCCCACCCAGTTCTCAAGTGTTTTGATCAGAAGTAGAAGCCCGGAGCAGAGAGCAAAGTGGGACAAAAGGAAAAAGCGCTGGTGAACCAGGGGTGGGCAGTGGGGGGTGGGAAGAAGGGCAGGAGGGGCATTGATACTTATCGGGAGTCCATCATGAACTAGACACTGCTGAGAGCATTTCATACTTTAGCTACCCAGAGAACACTAACAGATAGTTCTATGAACCAGAATTTACAGATACAGAAACTGGAGCTCAAAGCAATTAAACAACCGGTAGAGCACCGTCCTGGAGGGCTCCTCCCCCAGATCTGAAGGCATCCACAGAATGTCCCTGGATCAGAGAACCCTCTGCTGACACAAACACACTCCCCTACTCCCTTCTTCCCTGTTACAGATTGAATTGTGTCCCTCCCAAAAATATCCATTATGTTGGAGCCCTAACTCCCAGTACCGCAGAATGTGACTGGTATTTGAGGACAGGGCCTTGGAAGAGGTAATTAAGTTAAAATGAGGTCCTTCGGGTAGGCCCTAATCCCATGGCTGGTGTCCTTATAAGACGAGGAAGAGACACCAGGCGTGTGCGTGCACAGAGCGAAGACCATGTGAGGACACAGTTGGCAGACGGCCATCTATGAGCCAAGGAGAGAGGGCTCAAAGGAAACCAAGCCTGTCCACACCTTGATCTTGCATTTCCAGCCTCCAGAACTGAGGGGATAAATGTCTGCTGCTTAACCACACAATCTTGTACTTCATCATAGCAGCCTGAGCAATTTTTTTTTATTCGTATTTTTATTTTGAGAAAGGGTTTCACTCTTGTTGCCCAGGCTGGAGTGCAATGGCGCCATCTCGGCTCACTGCAACCTCTGCCTCCCAGGTTCATGCGATTCTTCCTGCCTCAGCCTCCCAAGTAGCTGGGATTACAGGTGCCCACCACCATGCCTGGCTAATTTTTGTATTTTTAGTAGAGACGGTTTCACCATGTTGGCCTGGCTGGTCTCGAACTCCTGACCTCAGGTGATCCGCCCGCCTCGGCCTCCCAAAGTGCTGGGATTACAGGCGTAAGCCACCACACCCAGCTGCCTGAGCAATTTAGTACCTCTCAACATACCCCCTCATCTGCTTGGGCTCTCTACAGCTCTTACTGTCTTGACTTTCCTAGTAAGTATGTTTGATTATTGTTTGTTTCCGCCACTAGAGAGTAAACTGCAGGGACTTCAGTTGCCTTAATCAATGATGTGTCCCCAGAACCTAGAACAGTCTCTAGCAACTGATATGTATTTAATGAACAAATAAATTGAATGAAAATGAAATGTAAACCCAGCAGCTGCTTCTGAAGTCACCCACTCCCTGCCCCACACCCCACTTCCTGTTGCTTTCTCTATTCCTTGTATCCACCTCTCCTTCCTCCAATATAACAGCTACTAAATAATTTTAAATAGTATAAATTCAGACCACGTGCAGTGGCTCACATCTGTAATCCCAGCACTTTTGAAGGTCAAGGCAGGAGGATCACTTGAACCCAGGTGTTCAAGACCAGCCTGGGTAACATAGCAAGATCCCATCTCTACCAAAACATTTTAAAATCAGCCAGGTGTGGTGGTGTGCACCTGTAGTCACAGCTACTTGGGAGGCTGAGGTGGGAGGATCACTTGAGCCCAGGAGGTTGAGGCTGCAATAAGCTATGATTGTGCCACTGCACTCCAGCCTGGGCAAAAGAAAGAGTGAGACCCTGTCTCTCAAAAAAAAAAAAAAAATGACAGGTAATAAAAAAAAAAAGTTAGGTTAAGGTTTAGATTGTGTTTTTGCTGAGTTTGTATTTAATCATGGGAGGTATTAAGGACTGTGACAGAGCTGTCCCAGTGAAACCTCAAACCCGAGAGGCCTGGTGCTGATCCAGGTCCCAAGAGCAGGCTGGAGGGGAGGACGCAAGGAGCTCGGCAAATCTGCAACACACAAGGGCAGCGGTGGCCACTGTGACCACCTGGGCCCCCAGCCCTGTTCGTGCCCTCGGTGGGGTGGGGAGCAACAAGACTTTGGAAACTTTCCCATAAGCAAACGACTTCTCTCCTGCTGTCTAGGAAGACAGCAGAATTCAGGTCAGCGGGACTTGAGTGGGGAGCCGGGGTTGGGGAACAGGGGCCTTGGAGGCCGAAAGAGGCAGCCACAACACCTGGCAGAGGAAGCCTTTCTCTGGAATGAAAGGAAATACGGGAGCAAAGGCAGCCCTTGCATTCCAATTTCTAGCCCCTTGACCACCCATCTTCTCCCCTTAGGCCCACCCCCAAATACTCTCTCTTTACAAACATCTGTCTGCTCAAAAGTAGCCACTAGGATTCTGAAACTTCCTCTTTACAACAAAACTAAACTGTTGCAACTTGTTGCTACCATTCTCACACCATCCTGGAAAAGGCAGGGGCCTCAGCAGAGCCCAAGTCTCCTGCCAATGGCCTTCCGACTTTGGAAGACCACTCCACCCCACTATCCTCCCCCTGCCCCTGCCCTCAGCTGCCCCTGCTCCACTGCCACCCTCGGTAGGGTCTCCCTCAGAAGGGCCGGGGGCTATTTCCCAAGCCTCCCTGTTGTCATGGTCCCTTGGAGACTTCTTCTCTCCCTCACTTCCTCCCAGTGGGTTTTCTGGCCAGGGGCCTTGGAAGTGACACAACGGCGGAGGCGGGGTGAACAGGTTGAAGAGCTTCCTCCAAAAGCCCGGACAGATCTCCCAGCTCCCTTGTTTCTAAGCCTTCTCACCACTACTGACAAAGTGGTTTTACCTGTTTTCCATCGGCTGGAATTGACTGGAATTGGGCATCCAAGCAGCCCCCACCTCCTCAGCCCCTTCAATCACAACCACACCAGAGTGAAGTGGCATGTTCCTAGGTCTACGCTGCGAGCCCCCTCCAGGACAGGGCCTGGGACCTCTTGTTCATCTGCATCCTGACCAGCGGGCAGTTTCTGGCCTAGATCTAGAATAGATGTACTGGATACATTTGCTGAATGAATTTCCAAGACTCAATAAAACTCGTGGAACTTTCTGGCAACATGAAAAATGGTCCCTCTCCTCAGTGGACATAAGAGGGTCATTAAAATATGAATTCTGGCGACCAATGAAACATAGGAACTTTGCATTATAGTAGTAACTCAGAACACACACAGTCTCCATTCTGCTTACAATTTTGTAAAATACATGTGTATATGGACAGAAAACCCAGAAAAATGCAAAACGGTGGATGAGGTGCAGGGCAAATCTGCTTCTTGCCAGCTTTGTTGCAATAATGCTTGTGCAATAAACACCACACACACCCCCACCTTATTTTTTTTTTTTTTACTTTAAAAACAGAAGAACTGGCTGGGCGCGGTGGCTCACACCTGTAATTCTAGCACTTTGGGAGGTCGAGGCAAGTGGATCACCTGAAATCAGGAGTTCAAGACCAGCCCAGCCAACATGGCAAAACCCCATCTCTACTAAAAATACAAAAATTAGCCAGGTATGGTAGCTCAAGCATGTAATCCCAGCACTTTGGGAGGCCAAGGTGGGCGGATCACCTGAGGTCAGGAGTTTTTGAGACCAGCCTGGCCAACATGACAAAACCCCATCTCTACTAAAAATACAAAAATTAGCCGGGCATGGCGGCACGCGCCTGTAATCCCGGCTACTCGGGAGGCTGAGGCAGGAGGATTGCTTGAACCTGGGAGGCGGAGGTTGCAGTGAGCCAAGATTGTGACAGTACACTCCAGCCTGGGCGACAGAGTGAGACTCTGTTTCAAATAATAATAATAAATAAAAACAGAACTGATTCTAATAACAATTACGTCTCTCTCAATATTCCATGAAAAATCTCATCCCAAGTCCTTTGGCTAGAAAAACATGCTGGCCACACAACCAGAGGGCGCAGGCCGCGTTCCCAGCATCCACCCCCAAGGTGAGTGACCTGGGAGTGGAATCCTGCACTCCCACATTTCCTGGGAAATGGGGCAAGGAAACAAGCCTTCACGGGCCGTCTTGGCCTATGCAGAGGCTGGGTCGTGGCCTAAGGAGGAGAGGAAACGTTTCACCAGCCCCAGGTGACTCACAGGGCCTTCACCAACCTGAATCACCCCTGAACAAAGCTCTGCCTGCGTCTGGGCAACTGAACGAGGTCCCACCCCTGCTCCCTGGACTTGCCACACCATGTCTCTACTTTACAATCTCGAAGGCTGCCTCCTCCAGGAAGCCTTCTCAGACTCCCCCCTGCCTTCTCCCTGGGTTTCCAGCATCGGTATCTGGTGGGAGACCATCAGCTCCCAGAAACAAGGGCCTATGTTTCTTTTCCCTCCATATTCCTAGCACCCAGCCAGTGCCTTATACCTAGAATCAGTTCCTCCTAGTAGGAGTCACTGCTGAATGACTATGAATCTGATGGGTGGACAGATGAAGGACGAAAGGAACCCAATGGTTTCAAGATGGCTGATGTCAAGAGCTCACTAGGCAACATGATGGCAGGTTGCCTGGCTAGCTGGTTCCCCAGAGGGCACTACTCAGACAGGCACAGCAGTGCCTGGATTCACGCTGGGGCCAGGGTCTTTCCACCTGCTCTCCCTTAGGACCAACCACATTCATTTGAAAAATGGCCAGTGGGGTTAAAGGTGAAGTCAGTAGCCAAGGCATCAATGCTGACCTGGCAACCCCGCTGTGGGTTGCCAACTGCTGTACGGGAGATCCCATTCTGCTGCAGCCCAACGTTCTCTCTGCCCATTGAATGAATGCTCAGCCACTGGTGAGGGTGGAGGCCTCAAGGACCAGCCCAACCACTCACCGCCAAGTGAGGAAACACAAGTCCTGGAGTGCAGGGCGTCTCCAAGGCCACAGAGTCAGGAGCTGGAGCACCCAAGTTTGAATCCCTGCACAGTCTCCCCATCTGCAAAATGAGGATAAGTTCCTACCTTATGGAAACCAGGGAAGAATTAAATGAGATAATCCATGTAAAAGCCCTAGCATGGCCAGGTGTAGGTGCAGTGGTGGCTCACGCCTATAATCCCGGCACATTGAGAGGCCAAGGTGGGAGGATCACCTGAGGCCAGAAGCTTGAGACCAACCTGGACAACACAGTGAGAGCCCATTTCCATTTTTTTAAATGTAAGTTAAAATTTTTTAAATAAAAGATAATAATTTTTTAAAAGCATCAGCATGGTACCTAGTACATACAAGTGCTCAATAATTTCTTTTTTTTTTTTTTTTTTTTTTTGAGATGGAGTTTTGCTCCTATTGACCAGGCTAGAGTGCAGTGATGAAATCTCAGCTCACTGCAACCTCCGCCTCCCAGGTTCAAGCAATTCTCCTGCCTCAGCCACTCCAGTAGCAGGGATTACTGGCATGCACCACCACACCCGGCTAATTTTGTATTTTTAGTAGAGACGTGGTTTCACTGTGTTGGCCAGGCTGGTCTCGAACTCCTGACCTCAGGTGATCCACCCACCTCAGCCTCCCAAAATGCTGGGATTACAGGCGTGAGCCACCGTGTCCGGCCAGTAAACTTTAATAATTATAATTAATAACGAGACTGTGATGGGACCCAGAGAGCAGCTCTTCCTCCCTTCCATGCCCACCTTCCCATCCTCCCTCCTCCTCCCAGGCAATCCTAGCCTCCAGGAACCTAGCTCAAGATGCTCAGATGTCTCCTGACTCAGGGTAGCATGGGCTTGCCTCAGTATCCCAACTCCCTGTTGGAGGATAAGGCTGCTTGGTGACAGGGACAGGCTGTCAGCCCTCCATCGCTGCTGAGCCCCACCAAGCCAGCACAGTGCAGACCACATAGCTGGAGCTTAGGGAGTCTCTGCGGACTGACTTGGCAAAGGGCAACTCCCTTATACCCAATACTTGGTTCTTAAATATAAAAAATAAAAACTTGAAAATGCCCCCCTACCACCACCTTTCTCCTCCCAGGGATTCCCCGATCAGTGTTCTGTAAAATGAAGAGGTCACTAACCGGCATTCAAAAGCTTTTGGCTATCTAGGCCTCCCTGTCGCAGGCTTAGAACTGAAGACACTGGCTGGGCGCAGTGGCTCATGCCTGTAATCCCAGCACTTTGGGAGGCCGAGGCAGGTGATCACCTGAGGTCTAGAGTTTGAGACCAGCCTAGCCAGCATGGTGAAACCCTGTCTCTACTAAAAATACAAAAATTAGCTGGGTGTGGTGGTGCACACCTGTAATCCCAGCTACTTGGGAGGATGAGGCAGGTGAATCGCTTGAACCCGGGAGGTGGAGGTTGCAGTGAGCCAAGATCGTGCAACTGTACTCTAGCCTAGGCGACAAAGCGAGACCCTACCTCAAAAAAAAAAAAAGTGAAGACACCAATGAGACCTGAACCCCATTTGTGCAATAAGGACTAGGAGCTGACTCTGTCCCAAACACGGAGTTACAGCATAGGGACAGAAATGAAAGAAGACCCCGCCTTTGACCTCCTCACCCGCAGAGGACAGCGAGTTCTCAAATCTTCTCCCCGATTCTGGCCCAGTTAGATTAAGTCACCCAGACTGTCCCAAATGCCTCGTTCTTATGTTTATCTGACAGGAAGCTGCCTTCTCTAGCTCAGTGACTTAATGTGAAACACAGGAAACGTAGTGGCTTTTGAACATAGACAACTCTAAATAAAGGTGCCTCTATCGCTTTGTAACAGCCTTTCTAAAAAAAAAAATACTTAAACCAGCTCAGATCAGTGTAATGAGATGAATTGAACTGTATGGGAAAAGGATGCAAAAGTTGCAGGCATCAGAAACCTCAGCATCAATGCCGGGGGCGAGTTCCAGCAGGTTCCTCAGTCATCTTAATCACCGCACCTTGTTATCAAGGGACAGGCTTGTTGGATAAATACGAAATCTCTAAAACTTGAACCTGGCCGGGTGCGGTGGCTCACGCCTGTAATCTCAGCACTTTGGGAGGCCAAGGCGGGCGGATCATGAGGTCAGGAGATGGAGACCATCCTGGCTAACACGGTGAAACCCCGTCTCTACCAAAAATACAAAAAAATTAGCCGGGCACGGTGGCGGGCACCTTGTAGTCTCAGCTACTCGGGAGGCTGAGGCAGAAGAATGGCGTGAACCCGAGAGGCGGAGCTTGCAATGAGCCGAGATGGTGCCACTGCAGTCCAGCCTGGACGACAGAGCAAGACTCCGTCTCAAAAAAACAAAAAAAAACTTGAACGTGTATTTCCTACCACCTGAGGAGAGATGATGTTATTGTTACTATGAAGAAAAGGAGAAGCTGGACGAGGTGGCTCACACCTGTAATCCTAGCACTTTGGGAGGCCAAGGCAGGTAGATTGCTTGAGCTCAGGAGTTTGAGACAAGCCTGGGCAACATGGCAAAACCCTGTCTCTACAAAAAAAAAAAAAAATTAGCCAGGCCTGGTGGTGCACACCTGTGATCCCAGCTACTTAGGAGGCTGAGGTGGGAAGAATGCTTGAGACGGAGGCCGAGGCTGTAGTGAGTTGCTATCGCGCCACCACATTCCAGCCTGGGCAACAGAGCAAGACGCTGTCTCATAAAAAAAGAAGAGAGATGAAGGGGAGGAAGAGGAGGAACAGACCACTTCACATCCATTTATAATGCTAAGAAAGAGGCTTCTCCACGGTGCAGATGGGAAAACTAAGGCGAGCAGCAGGAGAAAAGGCGGGGGGTCTGCTCCTAGCTCTGCCTGATCCCAAAACTTTATTTTGTTCCTTCTCCCGTGCATTTTGTGTTGAAAATATAACAAATTATCACCGGAGACATTAAGTGACCTAAAGTTACTAGAAATCAGGGCTGGCTGAGGACAGTGGGCAGCAGTGTGGCTTTCTGAATGGCCCACCCTGCTGCCTGGCACCACCCCATGTGAAATATTGATTTTTCGAGCTGTGGGAACTTTCAGCCCAAGTGGTCACGTCCAGCTGGAAGAAGTTCAGAGAAACCCAAAACACTTCCCACCCCATTCCTTAACCCTAGTGCCCCCCAACAAAAAACAACAAAAAAGACGAAGGGAGTAGAAGAATAGACTCTTAAGGAAAGATTAAAGGAGCTCAGTATGTGTTGCTTGGCTAAACAGGGCATAAACATCAAAAAAAAAGAGAGTCACCATTTAGAAAACACGCTTAAATGAAGCCTCCTGATTTGGAAAGGCACTGGGTATGAGCGAAACCAGGGGCCAAGGTTTTCTACCGACTCACAGAATGAGCTTAAGCAAATCGCTTTTTCTCTAATTAGGAAAAAAAAAAAGAAATGTTATTTTAATTATTCCCAACATCTCTTCCAGCCAGGCATTCTATAATTCTAAATCCAGTAGGGAGGGTTTTCATTGTTGTTGCTGATTTTTCTTTTAAGCAGGGGATGATTTCAAATTAGAGTTAAAATGCAAGAAGAAAGGCTCTTCTTTCTAAGGCCCACGTCCTTTTGGTGAGTGGCAACCTACTCAGAGATTAGCTTCGAGCTCCCCCAACACATTAAAAATTGTACAGAGAGGCCAGGCGTGGTGGCTCACGCCTGTAATCCCAGCACTTCGGGAGGCCGAGGCGGGTGGATCATGAGGTCAGGAGATGGAGACCATCCTGGCTAACACGGTGAAACCCCGTCTCTACTGAAAATACAAAAAAAATTAGCCGGGCGTGGTGGCGGGTGCCTGTAGTCCCAGCTACTTGGGAGGCTGAGGCAGGAGAATGGCGTGAACCCGGGAGGTGGAGCGTGCAGTGAGCTGAGATCGCGCCACTGCACTCCAGCCTGGGTGACAGAGCGAGACTCCGTCTCAGAAAAATAAAAAGTTGTACAGAAAGACATCATCTTGGCCTAAGAAGGCAAGAGAGGGACCTCCCTGAGAAGCCCCTTTTCTCCTCTGGGACATACCATAAGGATGGTAAGGGCCTCTGAGAAGTACCAAGGAAGTGACTCGAGGGTGGGGAAGATCAGCTACCTGTAACCCCACTACAGGCCTTAGCCCAACCTGCACGGCAGGAAGCCACACCCTTCCGGAAGGCCCTGCAAAGGCTCCTTCCAGCCACAGCAGGAGGGTCCTGGGCTAGAGATGCAGACAGCCACTGAGGGACTCCCAGCTGCTCCAGCGCTTGGCGGGCTAGCTAAGGGCCTTCTCTGGGGACACCTGCCCGGGTGCTGAATCATCTCAGGCTCGAGAAGCTAATCGTGGGAATGGGAACCTGAGTAATTCCAACAGAAGCCTAGGTTACTTTTTAAAGAGACATGCATCAGAGTGGGCAGCTCCCCTCCTGCCTCCCAAATATTTGGTGCCATCTAAGCACAAGGGACAGGGAGCTGGGTACAGATACAGGCCGCCCGCCCATGCAGTGGCGGTCCCATTTTAGAGCCAGTCTCATAGTGTGTGCTCATGTGTGACTCACACCATTCCCCCAGGAGGCCCGGAGGCTGCCTTGCAGGACCTCAGGACCCTGATGGGGTCTTCCAGACTTCACTCAGGAAAGGAGTCAATCGGGCACAACAGCAGCGCCGGCAGCTCCTCCCAGGGCCCACACCATCCAAGGCGAAAGACAGCCATCCTTGAGAAGGGGGGTAGGGCCCTCCCATTCAAAACACCCCTCTGATCACATCTTCTCAAGAATTTGGGCTTTTCCAGTGTTGTTATACATAAAAACCACAGGCCAGATGTC
Source organism: Homo sapiens (assembly GCF_000001405.40). Classification (NCBI taxonomy): domain Eukaryota; kingdom Metazoa; phylum Chordata; class Mammalia; order Primates; family Hominidae; genus Homo; species Homo sapiens. The sequence continues at coordinate 36,380,381 of NC_000022.11, forward strand.
TTAGGGGAAACTGGGGACAGAGTGGGAAGGGGCATAATAGTGGATGCAATGACCCCAAGTTAAAAAAGAAGGCCAGGTGGCCGGGTGCGGTGGCTCACGCCTGTAATCCCACCACTTCGGGAGGCCAAGCCAGGTGGATCACCTGAGGTCAGGAGTTCGAGACCAGCCTGGCCAACATGGTGAAACCCTGCCTCTACTAAAAATACAAAAATTAGCCAGGCGTGGTGACAGGTGCCTATAATCCCAGCTACTCGGGAGGCTGAGGCAGGAGAATCGCTTGAACCTGGGAGGTGGAGGTTGCAGTGAGCTAAGATCACGCCACTGCACTCCAGCCTGGGCAACAGAGTGAGACTCTGTCTCCAAAAAAAGAAAAGAAAAGAAAAGAAAAGAAAGAAAGCCAGGTATGTGAGGGCCTGGGTTGGGCTTCAGGTTGGGGTGGGCTCCCCAGGACAGGACAGCTTATGATTTGGAGCCAAGCGAATTATGGAAACCTTGCAAGAGGGTATCCCAAAACGCTTTCCAGACACACATGCAGGCTTTCTCTTCTCATACAGCAAAGAAAAATCAATCATCTACCATTTCCCAGAATATGAGGAAGTAGATCAGAAAGGACTTCTGTTTAAGGGGTTACTCTAGTGATGTGACATCATGGGAAGAAAACAGGACCCAAAGGTTTCAAGCACAAAGACCCTTCCCTCTTACCTTGTAAAAGGTAGGCATTCAATATGCAATATGGAACCTAAAGCAATGCACTTTAAAGTTGAGACCTACAGATTAGCCAGCTGGACCCCTTATTTTTATAGTTAAGAAAAATAAGAAATAGCTGAATTTTTTATTCTTTAGGGACAATATGGCCGGGCACACTGGCTCATGCCTGTAATCCCAGCACTTTGGGAAGAAGAAGCAGGTGGATCACTTGAAGTCAGGAGATGGGGACCAACCTGGGCAACATGGTGAAACCCCGTCTCTACTAAAAATACAAAAAAATTAGCTGGGCATAGTGGCGCACACCTGTAATCCCAGCTACTCAGGAGGCTGAGGCAGGAGAATCACATGAACCCAGGAGGTGGAGGTTGCAGTGAGCCGAGATCGATCATGCCACTCCAGCCTGGGCAACAGAGCGAGACTCCATCTCAAAAAAAAAAAAAAAAGTATTGAGTGAAATGTACTGCTCACTCCCTGCTCCTGTTGCCTAGACCCTAGGCAACCACCATTACCAGGGTCTCAGTATCTTTCCAGAAATACTGCATGCACAGAGCAGAGTTTACATACCATGTTTTACACAAAACGAAGCACCATTTACACTACTTTGCGTCTGGTGTTTTTCACTTACAACATAGCTTGGAGAGCACACCCTATCAGTACATATGGATTGACCTCATTTTTCAAAGGGATGCAAGGACTTCCACTGTACAGCTGTACCATGATTTAGTTGACCTTTTTAATAGCACAACTTGTTTCCTGTCATCTTCTATGTCAATGCCGCAATGAAGATTCTCAGACATTTCCTTCAGCACATCTGAGTTTATCTGTGAGATGAATTCCTAGAATATAGTCGGAAGGAGTATGCTTTGACAGATACTGCCAAACAACTTTCTTTTGTTGTTGTTGTTGTTGTTTAATGTAACCCAGAGACAGACTCTCCCTGTGTTGCCCAGGCTGATCTCGAACTCCTGGGCTCAAGCAATCCTCCCCCATTGGCCTCCCAAAGTGCTGGGATTACAGATGTGAGCCACCATGCCCAGCCCCAAACGACCTTCTAAAAAGAGGGTTGTACAATATACACTCCCATCAATAAGGTACCAGAGTGCTGGCCAGGTGCGGTGGCTCACGCCTGTAATCCCAGCACTCTGGGAGGCCAAGGCGGGCGGATCACCTGAGGTCAGCAGTTCGAGACCAGCCTGGCCAACATGGTGAAACCCCATTTCTATTAAAAATGCAAAAATTAGCTGGGCGTGGTGGCAGGCGCCTGTAATCCCAGCTACTTGGGAAGCTGAGGCAGGAGAATCGCTTGAACCCAGGAGGCGGAGGTTGCAGTGAGCCGAGATCACACCACTGCACTCCAGCCTGGGCAACAGAGCGAGACTCAGTCTCAAAAAACAAAAAAAAGAGTGCCTAGGAAATTAAAATTACTTGATTTTGCTGGGTGTGGTGGCTCATGCCTATAATCCCAGCACTTTGGGAGGCCAAGGCGGGTGGATCGCCTGAGGTCGGAAGTTCGAGACCAGCCTGGCCAACGTGGTGAAACCCCATCTCTACTAAAAATGCAAAAACTAGCCGGGTGTGGTGGTGCACCCCTGTAATCCTGGCTACTCGGTAGGCTGAGGTAGGAATATTGCTTGAACCCAGGAGGCAGAGGCTGCAGTGAGCCAAGATCATGCCACTGTACTCCAGCCTGGGCAACAGAGTGAGACCCCATCTCAAATAAAGAAATAAATAAATAAATAAAATTACTTAATTTTTCAGTTTTTCAGGCACTCCCATACATAACTTGTGGGCACATAAACTGGTATGATATCTTTGTAGGGAGATACGGCACCTCCTCGGAAATCAAACCTGGCCAGGTGCAGTATTTCACACCTGTAACCCCAGCACTCTGAGAGGCTGAGGCAGGAGGGTTGCTTGAGCCCAGGGGTTTGAGACTAGCCTAGGCAATACAGCAAGATCCCATCCCTACAAAAAACACAAAAATTAGCCAGGTGTAGCAGTGTGCACTTGTAATCCTGGCTACTCAGGAGGCTGAGGCAGAGAATTGCTTGAGCCCAGGAATTTGAGGCTGCAGTGAGCTATGATCATGCTACTGCACTATAGCCTGGGCAACAGAGCAAGACCCTGCTTCAAAACGAAATCAAAAAACAAAAAGGAAATCAAACCTCCCCTCACCCAGAGCCAGAGTTGGAAGTAAGGTCTCCAGTCACCCAAGTCCAGTGCTCTTCCTGTATCACCCTTTGGCTATCTCCCAGACCACAGGAAACCATGTGTTTGAACTGAAACCACAGTCTGCACACCTTCTGTCCCAGCCGGGGCCCTGTGAAGAGGTTACTCAGCAGAAGTTCATCACCAAGTGCATCCAAAAGCATCAGCAGATGGGCCTCATAGCCACTTGTGAATAGGCAGTCCACAACCACAGTCCACAACCACAATACACGCATACCTTGTTGTGCACAGAGGCAGAAAGAACACCGAGCTAGAAGCCAGGAAAACAATCTGTCCCCCAGCCTCATCCCCACCCCCTCAACCTGATAACCTAGGGAGTTAAGACTGATCATTTATATTAAAAAAAAAGGGGGGGGGGTGCCAGGTGCGGTGGCTCACGCCTGTAATCCTAACACTTTGGGAGGCTGAGGCGGGTAGATCACCTGAGGTCAGGAGCTCGAGACCAGCCTGGCCAACATAGTGAAACCCTGTCTCTACTAAAAATACAAAAAAATTAGCCACGCATGGTGGCGGGCACCTGTAATCCCAGCTATTCGGGAGGTTGAGGCATGAGAACCGCTTGAACCCAGGAGGCGGAGGTTGCAGTGAGACAAGATAGTGCCACTGCACTCCAGCCTGGGTGACAGAGTGAGACCCTGTCTCGAAAAAAAAAAAAAAAGTGGGCGAGGGGGTGCTGGGTGTGGTGGCTCACGCCTGTAATCCTAGCACTCTGGGAGGTCGAGGCCGGTGGATCGCTTGAGGTCAGAAGTTCCAGACCAGCGTGGTCAACATGGCAAAATCCCATCTCTACTAAAAATACAAAAATTAGCCAAGTATGGTGGCAGGCACCTGTAATCCCAGCTACTCGGGAGACTGAGGCAGAAGAATCGCTTAAACCTTGGGGGCAGAGGTTGCAGTGAGCTGAGATTGTGCCACTGCACTCTAGCCTGGGCGAGAGTGAGACTCATCTCAAAAAACAAACAAACAAACAAAAACCATATATGAGCCGGGCACGGTGGCTCACACCTGTAATCTCAGCACTGTGGGAGGCCGAGATGGGCAGATCACCTGAGGTCAGGAGTTCGAGATCAGCCTGGCCAACATGGTGAAACCTCATCTCAACTACAGATATAAAAACTAGTGGGGTGTGGTGGTGGGCACCTGTAATCCCAGCTACTCGGGAGGCTGAGGCAGGAGAATTGCTTGAACCCAGGAGGAAGAGGTTGCAGCAAGCTGAGGTCACGCCATTGCACTCTAGCCTGGGCGACAGAGCAAGACTCTGTCTCAAAAAAAAAAAAAAAAAAAAAAAAAAAAAATATATATATATATATATATATATATATATATATATATATACAGCCACTACATATTAGGCCATGTACATACCTTATTTCTTTCAGTTCATGCATCTAACCCCACAGGGTAGGATCTTGATTCCCATATTATACATAAGCACATCCAAGCTGTGAGGCTATGTGACTTGCCTAAGGTCACAAAGCTATTAAGTAGCATGGTCAGGATTTGAACTCGGCCTGTTTCCAAAGCTCACGTTCTTTCCACTACCCCACTCTTCCCAGCTCTAAGAGTGGGATTCAGTAAGCCACAGCAGCAGCACTGCCAGGGCTCCATTCTTTTGTCAGCAGAGGACTCCAGCCCAGGGTCTCAGCACACCAAGGGTTAAGGCTGAGAGGCAGTGACTCTCTGGGGCTGCACAAAGGGAAATGCACTTCCTGCCCCAGCAGGCAGAGATGCTGTTTTATGCTCAGTAAATTAGGACGTTTGTTTAATTACGACGACACACAGATTTTGTTATTCTAAATATTTTTGGAACATGATGCTTGGGAGGAAGCTGTCAAGGCACGGGTTTTTTTTTTTCTCTCTCTCTCTTTTTCCTTTGCTTTGGGTTTCTCTTTCTCCCCCTCCAAGAGAAGGGTAGGGCCAGGCTCAGAGGAAAACAACAGCCAACCCCTCCTCTCCTTTTGAAATAAAGATGTCAAGCTGGTAAGGGCTGTCTTAAGTACTTTATTGAAGAATTAGCTAGAAGAGGAAGTAAAGGAAGAACAGCCAGCCTGGTTTCTAGCAATACCCTACCAGGCTACACAACAATGCTGCATTTTTTTAGTGTGTTTTTCTTCTTTTAAAGAGCTAACAGATCCTTGTTTTGTTTTTTCTGGAGCAAGAGCGGGCAAAAGGCAGGCTGTGATTAACATGCGTCCTTCATCCTACGAGAGAGAAGTTGTCCCATCTCCAACCCCTTAGGTTAAAAAGTTTAAAAATAAAAGCAAGAAAGCCAGGGCCCTCCCTCTCCTCTACCCTCCTGAACCTTTCAGATGAACAGCCTCACCGAATGCTGCCCTTCTCTCCGGGGCTGGGGAGCTCCCCAGAGCCTGCCAATGCCGGCTCTCCAGACACCTGGCTCTGCCCACCTGCGCTGCCAGGGTTTGCTGAGTGTGGAGACTGAAGTTCTTTGGTGTCACCCCACAGTCATCCAGAGCGCAGTGGCTCTCAAATTACACTGAGCAATCTCTCCATGTTTTTAATTACCCCCCAATTATCCACTAAGTGGCTCCTCACTTTCCAACACCGCATGCTTGCCTCAGTTTGCCAAACCTGCAATGTGCTTCTCCCTTGTAGCAGCCTCCTCCTTGCCCAAGAGAAGTGGCCCCTCTCAGCCTTGAAATTCCTGAGTCCTTTGTCTATGGCATACTTGGGACACACATCACAGGCTGCCTTTGTATTTCACTGGTTCTGCCACTTTCCCCTTGAGGACTGTAAACTCCCCAAGGGCAGAGGCAGGGCCCCGGGGATTTCACAGGGCAGTCTGGCTCCCTTCTCCCAATCCCCATGACTCACAGTACCTTTCCGGGGTCCCTGTCATCTCTACCTCACGTTAGACTCATCTACAGATTTGTCTCAGTTCTCCCCTAAGTGCCCATGGGCACGGGCCAGGTCTTACTCAACCTCCCACCCCCCCACCACCTGGCAGAGTCCCTGGCACAGAGAGGGCAGTTAAATATTTGCTCAATTACACATCTGTGTCCCCTTCCCCCACACATAGCAGCCTTGTATATAAACTGACTATTATTAATTGAGTGATTGTCTCAAAAGGCCTCCCTCCTTACCAAAAAGGGACTCCTAAGCCATCAGGTGAGCCAAACACTGGCCCAGACAGTGTAGTTAGAATGGCCACAGTGCTGCGCTGCACGGAGAAGGAGCTAAGGCTCTCTTCCCTTTCCACGGTTACTCATCAGTCACTTTGAAATCCTGTTAAACCCAGAAAAGGGCGCAGTGAACCGAGAAGTGGCTGGGCCTCTCAACTGCCCGGTGGAGACAGCCGCCTGCCTCTACGACCTGGGACTTCCCAAGGAGTCTTCTCTCCACACCGGCTGGGTGGGGCCGTGCGCTCACCCTGCCCCCCACCACAGGACAGCCGGCAAGCTAGTGCTGGGGGTGCTGAGTCTCAGTTTGAAACAGCGGGGCTTCCCTGGAGAATGAGGGTGCCGCAGTCCTGTCTCCTGTGCGTGGCCCCAGAACAGGATGGGGTGAGGACCCCAGCACAGGGAAGCGGGTGCGTGGAGTGGAGAATAGAAAACTCCGATTTGGCTCAAACAGGAAAGATGCAATCGCCCAGGCCTGCTCGTAACGGCAGAGCTAGCTGCCCCCGCACCCCGCCCAGACGGGATGGCCCCTGGGTGCGGTGGAATCAGGTGCACGCCTGGGCGGCCCCGACGGCTGCTGCATTCCGGGCCTCCCTCCCCCGAGGATCAGAAGTCGGAGGTCGAGGGCTGGAGCAGGGACTGGGGGTGGCCCTTCCTGTCTCGCGCCCGGGTCCCCGCCGGGTCCCCCTTGTCCGGGCAGCCGCCGCACCTCCCCCGGGCCCTCCCCGACCAGTCCGACGGCAGCGGGCGAATGAGGAAGTCGGCCGCGGAGGCGGAAACCGGGCCGGGTGCAAGGTCTGCAGCGGGACGGTCCGACTCTGACTCAGGAGGACGCCCTGACAGCTGCCAAACGGTGCCCGCTGCCCGTTACCTCCGTGCCTCAGACGCCAGAAACTTCCACGGGAGCGGCTGCCCCGGGCTCCCAACCCGTGAGGCTGCGTCCCAGGGGCCGCGGCTCCCGGAAGGGGTTAAAAAGTTTGCCCGAGTCGGGCCTGGGCGAGGCGAGGGCGGGGCGCGTGCCCCAGCGGCTGGGGGAGGTCGGCTCCAGTGCCCAGTCCTGAGACCGCGCCGGGGGACACGGGGGGCGCCGGGGAGCGCCGGGTCCCGAGGCCGCCCCTGCACCCCTAGGCCTCGCTGCTGCCGGCGCCCTCCCCGAGCGCCCGCGTGGGGGTCCCGGTCCCCCTGGGAAGGATGCGGTGCCGGGCCCTGAGCCGCCGGCGTTCGCCCCCGCCCGCGCGGGTGGCGGGCCGCACTGAGCCCAAGAACCACCAGTCGGCCTGGCGGCAGCGCGTCTCGCCCCCGCCCGCCCGCCGCCGCCTGCCCGGGGCGGGACCGCGGTGGGGCTCGCTCACCTGAACCTGGATCTGCCCCGGGAACAGGCGCTGCTTCTCCCGAGAGGACTTTCTCGAGCGCTCGGGCGGCGGCCGGGTGGGGCGAGCGCACGAGGCGGGAGCTGCAGCAGGTCAGCCTTGCTTAGCCTTCCGTGCCCTGCCCAGGAACCGCGGTGATCTGCGCGCCTCACCGCACCCAGCTCGGCTCCTCGCCGCCTTCCCGCCCCGCCCTCGGAGCCGCGGGACCATTCCCAGCCGGGAGCCGGCTCCGGGGCGGAGCCTGGGGCACAATCCCGCCCCCTTCCTGCTACACCCACTGCAGGCCGCGCCTGGCCTTGATGGGCAGACGTATTGGCCTGTGGAAAGGGGGTGGGCGGAGCCTCTGCGGCCAGATGGGTGGGGATTCAACATCCTCTTTCCGCCCCACCTCCACCCGCTCCACCTTCCCCCGCGCTTCCTAGGCGGGAGCCCCGCCCTCTAGGGCGGGTCCAACGGACAGCCAGGTTCTAGGACAAGGATTGACACAGGGGGAATCCAATCAGGAGGCGGCGACTCGGGGCGCGGAGAGCTCCGGGCCGGGGTTTTGGTGCCTTGCCTGGGCCGGGGCGAGGCCCTGCGGGAGCCGACTGGGAAGGTCTGGAACTCTGACACCCCGCCCCGCGAGCTGTGCTCTCAGTCTCATGTCATCCCACCACAAGGACAGATATTAAGTACCATATATGGGAAAAATGCTATTTTACATAATTATGATCCCTGTGGGGGCGGGCATGGACTCAGCCCTGGATTCCATTGTGAGCGTCTTGAGTTCGATTCCTGACCCTGCCTCTTTAGGATCCGCACGTTGCTGCCTTTCAGCCTCCAAACCTTCGCTCTGGCCGTTCTCTCCACCTGGAATACCCTTCCGAGCCTCTCTTCACCTCCATGTCATTAACTCGCATACATCCTTTCAGGTACTTGTTACAAATTGCACTTTTTTTTTGTTACTGTCCACTACAAGAGGATAAAAAATGTTTTCATTTTTAAATGAAAAATCTTTTGATCCATTTGGAATTTATTTTTGGGGTAAGGAAGAAACCTAAGATAATTTTTGTAATAGCCACTTGTCCAAACACTGTTTTCTCCACTGATTTTAGTTGGCACCTTCATCGCCTATAGAACTATTATACTTGAAGCTGTTTCTGACTTGTATACATTGATCTCTCTGTGTGCACCTGTGCCAATCCCACCATGCTTTAATGAAGATACCTTTATAATACATTCTATATCTATGAGGGCAAATTTCTCATCATTACTCTTTCTTACTGGAATGTGCTTGCTATCATGACTATTCTTCCAAATTAACTTCAGAAAAAAGCTATGTTCTAAAGGCAAAAGAAAGCTGGGAAAAAAAGATTTTGCAACTCTGTGACAAATTACTATCAGCAATATATAAAGATCTCTTCCCAGTTGATAAGAAAAACCTCGGCCGGGCGCGTGGCTCATGCCTGTAATCCCAACATTTTGGGAGGCCGAGGCGGGCGGATCACCTGAGGTTGGGAGTTCAAGGGCAGCCTGACCAACGTGGAGAAACCCCGTCTCTACTAAAAATACAAAATAATTAGCCGGGCATGGTGGCCCATGCTTGTAATCCCAGTTACTCAGGAGGCTGAGGCAGGAGAATCGCTTGAACCCGGGAGGCGGAGGTTGCAGTGAGCAGAGATCGTACCACTGCACTCTAGCCTGGGCAACAAGAGCATAACTCCGCCTCAAAAAAAAAAAAAACAAAGAAAAAGAAAAAGAAAAACCTCAAAGACTCCAAAATAAAAATGGCCAAAAACAGGAACAGGTGATTTTAAAGAAGAATTATAAATGGCCAATAATTATTTTTAAAAAGCCATAAGAAATGCAAACAAAACAACATAAAATGCCATTTTCACCTAATTAAAAAAAAAATGCTCAATATTGGTCAGGTTTATAGATACAGATGAGAAAGTAAATTGATCAATTCTATCTGAGAATTCATCTTAAAAGACATTAGAAAAGTACACAGATATGAACTTTAAAGTTCTTTGCAGCCGGGCGCGGTGGCTCACGCCTGTAATCCCAGCACTTTGGGAGGCCGAGGCGGGCGGATCACGAGGTCAGGAGATCGAGACCATCCCGGCTAAAACGGTGAAACCCCGTCTCTACTAAAACTACAAAAAATAGCCGGGCGTAGTGGCGGGCGCCTGTAGTCCCAGCTACTTGGGAGGCTGAGGCAGGAGAATGGCGTGAACCCGAGAGGCGGAGCTTACAGTGAGCCGAGATCCCGCCACTGCACTCCAGCCTGGGCGACAGAGCGAGACTCCGTCTCAAAAAAAAAAAAAAAAAAAAAAAAAAAAAAGTTCTTTGCAACATTGTTTATAGTCACTAAATGTTAGAAATAAATGTACAATATATTACAAGATTGAATACATTGTGATATAGTCATATGTCGAAAAGTACAAAAAAAGTCATTAAAATTTTTATGTAGATTTGTATTTGCTGATTGAAAATATACTAAGTGGCCAGACGCAGTGGCTCATGCCTGTAGTCCCAGCACTTTGGGAGGTAAGGTGGGAGGATTGCTTGAGCCCAGGAGTTCAAGACCATCCTGGGTAACATCGCAAAATCCCATCTCTACAAAAAATACAAAAACTAGACTGCCATGGTGGCGCACATCTGTATTCCCAGCTACCCAGGAGGCTTAGCTGGGAGGATTGCTTGAGCCTGGGAGGTTGAGACTACAGTGAGCCTTGATCGTGCCACTGCACTCCAGCCTGGGCAACAGAGTAAGACCTTGCCTCAAAAAAGAAAAGAAAAAGAAAATCTACTAAGTGAGGAAGAGCAAATTTATAGAATGCTGTTACAACATGATTTTGTCCTGGTGTGGTCGCTCACGCCTATAATATACATACACACTTAGTTGGGCATGGTAGTACTTGCCTGCAGTCCTAGCTACTCAGGAGGCTGAGGTGGGAGGATTGCTTGAGCCCAGGAGTTTGAGGCTGCAATGAGCTGTGAGCATGCCACTGCACTCCAGCCTGGTCAACAAAGCAAGACCCTGTTTCTGGAAAAAATAAAAATAAAAAAGAAGAAGAAAGAAAAAATACAAAAATTGAAAGACTCATTTCATTCTAGGTATGGTGGCTCACACCTGTTATCCCAGCACTTTGGGAGGCTGAGACGGGTGGATCACCTGAGGTCAGGAGTTCGAGACCAGCCTGGCCAACATGGCGAAACCCCATCTCTACTAAAAATACAAAAGTTAGCTGGACGTGGTGGCATGCACCAGTTATCCCAGCTACTCAGGAGGCTGAGGCAGGAGAATCGCTTGAACCCAGGAAGCGGAGGTTGCAGTGAGCTGAGATCACACATCTGTATTCCAGCCTAGGCAACAGAGTGAGACTTCATCTAAAAAAAATTAAAAAATAAAAAGACTCATGTTGATGTCACCACTTCCTTTTTTTCTGAGACGGAATCTCGCTCTGTCACCCAGGCTGGAGTGCAGTGGCGCGATCTTGGCTCACTGCAACCTCTGCCTCCCGGATTCAAGCAATTCTCCTGCCTCAGCCTCCCAAGTAGCTGGGATTACAGGCATGTGCCACCATGCCCGGCTAATTTTTTTGTATTTTCAGTAGAGACGAGGTTTCACCATATTGGCCAGGCTGGTCTCGAACTCCTGACCTTGTGATCCACCCGCCTCGACCTCCCAAAGTGCTGGGATTACAGGTGTGAGCCACCGCGCCCGGCCAGATGTCACCACTTCTAAAACATCTTTCCTGACTCTCAAGACCAGTTAGGAACTCCTCCTCTGTACTCCATTCTCTGGTATCTATTCTCTCATTGTATTTACACATTGAGTTTTAATCATTCATTCACTTTCTGCTTTTTCCGCCCAGGCTGGAAGCTGCCTGTGGACAGTCAGGGACTGAGCCCTATTTGTCTCTCTGGGCCCAGAACTAGCATAAGGCCTGACATAAAATGGCCTTTAGTGAATGCTTAAGCAGGACTCAGAGAGCCTGTTTCCTTATCTGCAAAATGAATGTGATCACTGGGCCTGGCCCAGCCCACAGGACTGTTGGGAGGAACACAGGAGACTATGGACCTGAAAGTGTTTTATAAACCACTAAGCAATGCGCACATACAACAGAGCATTATTGGTATGATTATTTTCATTTTCCTCATGCCCCCGGCCTCTGAGCATCACCCTCTCCAGGGAAAACTTAAGGTCACTAATAAGACAAAAGGCCTCCATCAGGCAGGCCCTGAATTCTTTCCTCCCCATCCCCTAGGCAACATGAGTCCTTTAGCTAAGGTAGCCCTCTCACTTGCATAAGCCTAACCCCTTTTCCAGCCTCTAAGAACCTGCACCCTTAATAGTTTCTACTCCTGTAGATTTTGAAAAACATTTCTGGCCAGGCATGGTGGCTCACGCCTGTAATCCCAGCACTTTGGGAGGCTGAGGCGGGTGGATCACGAGGTCAGGAGATCGAGACCATCCTGGCTAACATGGTGAAACCCCGTCTCTACTAGAAAATACAAAAAATTAGCCGGGCGTGGTGGCGGGTGCCTGTAGTCCCAGCTACTCGGGAGGCTGAGGCAGGAGAATGGTGTGAACCCGGGAGGCGGAGCTTGCAGTGAGCCGAGATCACGCCACCGCACTCCAGCCTGGGCGACAGAGCGAGACTCTGTCTCAAAAAAAAAAAAAAAGAAAAATATTTATTCATTTTGTCTGAGTATTAATACTACGTTCGGTGTGGAGTATACCAAAAAAAAAAAAAAGAAAAGAAAAATCACCCATAAGCTTACAACCCCATCACAGCTACTATTAACAAACCTCCTATGCCAGGCGCGGTGGCTCACGCCTATAATCCCAGCACTTTGGGAGGCAGAGGCGGGCAGATCACTTGAGGTCAGGAGTTCAAGACCAGCCTGGCCAACATGGCAAAACCCCGTCTCTACTAAAAATAGAAAAATTAGCCAGGCATGGTGACATGCGCCTGTAATCCCAGCTACTAGGGAGGCTGAGGCCAGAGAATCACTTGAACCCGGGAGGCGGAGGTTGCAGTGAGCCGAGATCACACCACTGCACTCCAACCTGGGCAACAGAGCAAGACTCTTTCAAAAAAAAAAAAAACTCATTATTTCCTTCAAATCTTTACATGGCTGGGCACAGTGGCTCACACCTGTAATCCCAGCACTTTGGGAGGCTGAGGCCGGTGGATCACGATTTCAGGAGTTCAAGACCAGCCTGGCCAACATGGTGAAACCCTGTCTCTACTAAAAGTACAAAAATTAGCCAGGCGTGGTGACACACACCAGTAATCCCAGCTACTCAGGAGGCTGAGGCAGGAGAATCACTTCAACCCAGGAGGCGGGGGTTACAGTGAGCCAAGATCATCCCATTGCACTCCAGCCTGGGTGACAGAGTGAGACTCCGTCTCAAAAAAAATAATAATAAAATAAAATGAAATCGAGAGATCTACATGTACATGGTCACCTGACTTATTATAATAGTGTCACTGCAAACAAGTCAGGGTAGAATGGTCTTTTGAATAAATGGTAGTAGGTCAATTACATACCCACATAGGGAAACATGAATCGTGACCCGACCACACCATTAATGAACATAGTTTAGGATGGATCAGAGACCTAAATGTAAAAACAATAAAACATCTAAAAGAAAGCATAGGAGAATATCAACCGGGCGTGGTGGCTCACGCCTGTAATCCCAGCACTTTGAGAGACCGAGGTGGGCGGATCACCTGAGGTCAGGGATTCAAGACCAGCCTGACCAATATGATGAAACCCTGTCTCTACCAAAATACAAAAATTAGCCAGGCATGGTGGCATGCGCCTGTAATCCCAGCTACTCAGGAGGCTGAGGCAGGAGAATCGCTTAAACCGGGGAGGCAGAGGTTGTAGTGAGCCGAGATCGCAACATTGCACTCCAGCCTGGGCAACAAGAGCAAAATTCCGTCTCAAAAAAAAAAAAAAAAAAAAGCATAGGAGAATATCTTCATGACCTTGAAGTAGACCAAAATTTCTTAAGACACACAAAAAAAGTATAAGCCATAAGAGATGGATGATTATTAAATTGAACCTCATTATTATTAGTAACTTCTGTTCATCAAAAGACACATTTAAAAGAGTGAAAAATCAAATCATAGACTGGTAGAAAATATTTACAATACATATATCTAACAAAGAATATGTACCCAGAAGTTACCAAGAACATCTACATTAAGAAAAATGGGGCCAGCCGTGGTGGCTCACGCCTGTAATACCAGCACTTTGGGAGGCCGAGGTGGGCGGATTGACTGAGCTCAGGAGTTCAAGACCAGTCTGAGCAATACGGTGAAACCCCATCTCTACTAGAATACAAAAAATTAGCCGGGGTGGTAGCGGGCACCTGTAATCCCAGCTACTCGGGAGGCTGAGGCAGGAGAATCGCTTGAACCCGGGAGGCAGAGGTTGCAGTGAGCCAAGATCTCGCCACTACACTCCAGCCTGGGCTACAGAGCGAGACTCTGTCTCAAAAACAAAAAAAAGGAAGAAGAAGGAAAAGATAAAAGGGCAGGGTGTGGTGGCTCATGCCTGTAATACCAGCATTTTGGGAGGCCAGGGGTGGAGGAATCACTTGAGTCCAGGAGACCAGCCCAGGAAACATGGCGAAATCCTGTCTCTACAAAAAAATACAAAAATTACCCAGGCGGAGTGGTGCACGGCTGTAGTTCCAGCTACTCAGGAGGCTGAGGTAGAAGGATCACTTGAGCCCAGGAGGTGAAGGCTGCAGTGAGCTCTGTGTCACCCAGGCTGGAGCTGCAGTGGCCTGATCATGGCTCACTCTTACTGCAGCCTCAACCTCCTGGACTCAAGCAATCTCCCACCTCAGCATCTCGAGTAGCTGAGACTACAGGGACTCACCACCATGCCCCACTAATTTTTTTTTCTTTTTTTCCTTGTTTTGTTTGTTCCTTTGTTTTCTTTTTCTTTTTCCCTCCTAGTACTGGCCTTGCAGAGCAGGGCTACCCTATAGGCAGTGTGCCCAGAGTAGCACCTGGCCAATTTTTGTATTTTATTGTAGAGATGGGAGGAGGTCTCACTTTTTTGCCCAGGCTGGTCTTCAACTCCTGGGCTTAAGCCATCCTTCCACCTCGGCCCTCCAAAATGCTGGGGATTACAGGCGTAAAGCCACCACGCCCGGCTGTATTGCCTATTAAAGTAAATCCATTTTTAATGTGAAAAATTATGCTATAAATTCAAATATAGATACAAAAGAATACATGCTCATTTTAAAAGTTAGAAAACATTAAAAAGAATAACAAAACACCTTTGTTACCTGTAGTTCTACTCTCAAGTTCAAGATTTTTGGCGTGTTTCCCTATTGTTTAACTGCCTTCTCCTTAAATCCAGCACACAGTGTCTAGCCCCGCTCCCACCATCCTGGTTCTTGCCAAACCTGTCTGCATGCCTGACTTCCTGCTCCATTCAGGTTTCCAGCCTCTCTCTGTCAACCACACTCATGCGCAGTCCTTCTCCTCCCTCTTCCCTGGCTCCCAGGACCCATCACTCCTCGCCACCATCTTACCCAGCCATCCTGTCCTCCCCAGCACTCTTGTCCCACTCTGATACTTGCCCTCCTTTCCTCCCCTCCACACCATGACCTTAGCTTCTCAACAAGGCCCTCCCCCACTGTCTCTTCCAACTGCCACCTGTATCTTCTGCATCCTCAGTTAATGGTCCTGAAGCCCAGCTGTAAGCATCAGCTTGGCACAAACTTACGGAGTTGTTCTTCTGTTTGTTCATTTGTTTGCTTTTTGAGACGAGTTTCGCTCTTGTCACCCAGGCTGGAGTCCAATGGCGTGATCTCGGCTCACTGCAACCTCTGCCTCCTGGGTTCAAGCGATTCTTCTACCTCAGCTGGGATTCTCCTACCTAGTAGCTGGGATTACAAGCACGTGCCACCACACCTGGCTAACTTTTGTATTTTTAGTAAAGACGGGGTTTTGCCCTGTTGGCCAGGCTGATCTTGAACTCCTGACCTCAGGAGGCAGAGGTTGCAATGAGCCGAGATCATGCCACTGCACTCTAGCCTGGGCAACAGAGTGAGAGACTCCATCTCAAATAATTAATTAAAATAAAATAAGGTTGATGATAATCCCTACAAAACTGGGTTGTTGTGGGAATTAAATGACTTAACTAAATGTCAAGCACCAACAACAGGGCCAGCACAGAGTAAGTGCCAAGTGGTATTTGCTATGATGATGTCATGATGATTATGCGTCTTTCTATCTTATCTCCTCTCAGAGGTTCATTTTTCATTCCCCAGATATTTCCTGAGGGCTTGTGATTTGCCAGATCCTGTACCAGGTGCTGGAACTTGGTGATAGACAATCCACAGTCTCTGCTCTGAAGACATCCATGCAGGTACTAACAGGTCAGCCTGGTAAATCCTGCGAAGGCTTCAGCACAGGGTGCTGTTGGGGAAAGAGGAGATGGGGTGTGTAGGGTAAGGGGGAATAGCAGCTCATTCCAGACAGGAAAAACTGGGTGCGTAGCCCAGAGGGGAGAAGACAGTCTGTGCACAAGCTCAGTGAAAGGGGAGGGAATGTCAAGAAGGCAGCAGGAGTTGGAAGGGGCAAGGCCCTGCAGCAGATATGCAGTCCTGGGACCCTCAGCATCACAGCAGCAACCTCACCTGGAGCCTTTAGAAATGCAGTCTCAGCTGGACATGGTGGCTCATGCCTGTAATCCCAGCACTTTAGGAGGCCGAGGCGGGCGGATCACGAGGTCAGGAGTTTGAGACCAGCCTGGCCAATATGGTGAAACCCTGTCTCTACTAAAAATACAAAAAAACTAGCTGGGTGTGGTAGCGGGCGCCTGTAGTCCCAGCTACTCGGGAGGCTGAGGCAGGAGAATGGAGTGAACCCGGGAGGCGGAGCTTGCAGTGAGCCGAGATCGCGCCAGTGCATTCCAGCCTGGGCGACAGAGCGAGACTCTGTCTCAAAAAAAAAAAAAAAAAAATTATCCAGGCATGGTGGTGTCACATGCCTGTAGTTCCAGCTACTCAGAAAGCTGAGGTGGAAGGATCACCTGGGCCTGAGAGATTGAGGCTGCAGTGAGCCATGATCAGGCCACTGCACAGTCTCAAAAAAAAAAAAAAAGAAAGAAAACAAATGCAGAGTCTGAAGATCCAGCCCAGACCCACTGATTCTGAATCTGCATGTTAACAAGCCCCCAGGTGGCTGGCATCATATTAAAGTGTTCAAAGCACTGGCTTAATCAGAAAGTGTCTTGTGGTTGTGCTGAGGAGTTTTTAATGCATCAGACATCAGAATCTCTAGGGAGGTTTTTTTTTAAATTTTATTTTAAGAGGCAGGGTCCCACTCCGTCGCCCAGGTTGGAGTGCAGTGGCGCAGTCATAGCACACTGCAACCTTAAATTCCTGGGCTCAAGGAATCCTCCCACCTCAGCCTCCCAGGAAGCTAAGACTACAGGCACATGCCATCATACCCAGCTCATTGTTTTATTTTTTTGTAGAGAATGGGTCTTGCTTTGTTGCCTGGTCTGGTCTCAAACTCCCGGGCTCAAGCAGTCCCTCTCCCTCAGCCTCTAAAGTGCTGGGATTACACACATGAGCCACCGTGCCCAACCACCTAGGGAGATTTTAATTAAACCAGTACCTCAGGTGGTGAGTCCTGAACACCCACATTTCATACCATTCATTCAGCAAATGATCACTGAGCACCAGGTCTGTGCCCTCCACCTGAAGGACCACACCTCCTCCTTCCCTGGATGGGCGCTCAGGGCCCCCTCTCTAGCGTGCACTCAACAAACATTCCAGGAATCTGATGCAATGGTTCCCGTGCCTGATTCACAACACTGTCCATCTAGGGCTCACCCTGGTCTGCATACCATTAACACTTCCCCACTGCCCCTTGAGTCTTTGAGTGTGGTAACTCCTTCTGGAGGCCTCTCTGGATCCTGCAGCCTGGCATGGATGTTCTCCTCTGTGGTCCCATTGTACTTGGGGTTGCTTCTGTTTTATGTTTTTTTGAGACAC
Organism: Homo sapiens; assembly: GCF_000001405.40. Taxonomy (NCBI): domain Eukaryota; kingdom Metazoa; phylum Chordata; class Mammalia; order Primates; family Hominidae; genus Homo; species Homo sapiens. The sequence goes on from NC_000022.11 coordinate 36,397,852, forward strand.
GCTCTCACTCTCTTGCCCAGACTGGAGTGTAGTCACGTGATCTTGGCTCACTGGAGCCTTAACCTCACAGGTTCAAGTGATCCTCCTGCCTCAGCCTCCCAGGTAGCTGGGACTATAGACACGTGCTACTACAGTCAGCTAATTTATTTTTCGTAGAGATGGGGTCTTTCTATACGGCCCATGCTGATCTCAAACTCTTAGCCTCAAACAATCTTCCTGCCTCAGCCTCCAAAAGTGCTTGGATTAGAGTCAAGGCCACCCCACCTGGCCTTAGGGTTGCTTCTGTCGTAGCATTCTCATGCTGTCAGCTTGCCTACCCCTGGACAAGGAGGTCATGAGCTTCCTAAAGACAGACGAGTGCTTTATGCTTATATCCCAAGTACATGGCACGGAACCTAGCACTCTGCAAGACCCTCAATAAATGTCCATGGCATGAATAAACAAATAAGCTACTAAATTGAAATAAGAATCTATGTGGGCTGGGCACGGTGGCTCACAGCTGTAATCCCAGCACTTTGGGAGGCCTAGGCAGGCAGATCATTTGATCCCGAGTAGCTGGGACTACAGGTGCCCACCACCACACCCAGCTAATTTTTTGTATTTTTTAGTAGAGACGGGCTTTCACTGTGTTAGCCAGGATGGTCTCGATCTCTGACCTCGTGATCCGCCCACCTTGGCCTCCCAAAGTGCCAGGATTACAGGTGGGAGCCACCGCACCCAGCCCATGCTTCTGTTTTTTTAAACAGCGTTATTGGGATAAAATTCACACACCTTACAACTCAGTTGTTTTTAGTATATTCACAGAGCTGTGCAGTCATGACCAGTAATTCCTGAACATTTTCATCACCCTAAAGAAACTCCATATCCATGAACAGTCACTTCCTGTTTTCCCTCAGCCTCCTCCCCCAGCGCTAGGCAACCATTAATCTACCTTCTGACTCTACAGATAATTTGCCTATTGTGGACATTCCGTATAAATGGAATCATACAATATGTGATCTTTTGTGTCTGGCTTCTTTGATCTAGCATGATGATTTCAGGGTTCATCCATGTCGTAGCATCTATCAGTATTTCATTCCTTTCTATTGCCGAATGCCATTTCATTGTATGGATAAGCTACATTTCATTGATTCATTCATCAGATAATAACGAACCTTCCCGCAGGTGTACAGCATTTGGCTTTTGCAATAGCATTTTCATGCCACCTCGCTTCATCTTGATGTTTACTGTTTGAGGAGGGTTGTGTTTAGCCCCATTTTGCAGATGAGTGAACTGAGGCCAGAGTGAGCCGTTGTGACTTGCCACAGAGATCACAAGGCTATTAAATAGCAGAGTCATAACTCGAAACCCTTTTCTCTGTGCCATTCTGCCTCCCTCCCCAATCCAACTCATGGCACATGTCTCTTTTCCCCTCATACACCCACTATTCATGGTGTCCACCGTGCCCTATGGCCACCTGAACTTGGATACACAGAGGTTTGGGTGTGTGCTCTGGGAGGGTGTCAAGCCCTTATCTGATCTGGATTTCTAGGCCAAAGTTCAGCCTTCCAGCCTGAGTGCATGCAGGTCACTTCTGGGTCCCAGATGTGGGTAGGTGGGGTATAGCCAAGAGGAACCCCACAGCTCAGGAATCCATCAGACCTCACCATCCACTCTGCAGAAAAGGGACCTCTCCCACCTGCCCCAGTGCCACCCAGCTCTTCCGATCGCCACTTCCTTCTGCTTGACCCTTCTTGCCACACCCTTTCCTCTCCAACCACAAAGAACTTTAAACACACTTCTTTTATGGCACTTGCCATACTGGGGCATAATGATTTTTTTATATGTCTGCTCCACCAACCTGTGAGCCACAAATTTCAAGGGTCTCAATCATCTTCGTATCACAGGAACTGGCACTTAATAGGAACTTGGTCAGTAGTGGTGGAATGAACAGATCTTCCTGTATTTTAATAATAACATCTACCGGTTGGGCACAGTGCCTCACACCTGTAATCCCAGCACTTTGGGAGGCCGAGGCGGGTGGATGACCTGAGGTCACGAGTTCGAGACCAGCCTGGTCAACCTGGTGAAACCCCATCTCTACTAAAAATACAAAAATCAGCTGGGCGTGGTGGCAGGTGCCTGTAATCCCAGCTACTCGGGAGGCTGAGGCAAGAGAATCACTTGAACCCAGGAGGAGGTTGCAGTGAGCCGAGATCATGCCATTGCACTCCAGCCTGGGTGACACAGCGATACTCCATCTCAAAATAAATAAATAAATAAAATAATAATAATAGTAACGGCCGGGCGCGGTGGCTCACCCCTGTAATCCCAGAACTTTGGTAAGGCCAAGGCAGGTGGATTACGAGGTCAGGAGTTCAGGACCAGCCTGGCCAAGATGGTGAAACACCATCTCTACTAAAAATACAAAAATTAGCCAGGCGTGCTGGCAGGTGCCTGTAATCCCAGCTACTTGGGATGCTGAGGCAGAGAATTGCTTGAGCCTGGGAGGTGGAGGTTGCAGTGAGCCAAAATCATGCCACTGCACTGCAGCCTGGGCAACAGAGAGAGACTCTGTCTCAAATAATAATAATAATAATAATAATAATAACATCTACCATTTATTGCATGTTTGCCATCTTATCGTGACAATAACCCCGTGATATGATGTCTAATCTCCTTCTTATAGAAGAAGAATTGAAGACACAGAAAGGCAAAGTTTACAAGTCTAAGCCATTTCAGACAAGAAGAGATGGAGTAGATGACTTAAAAAAATAAATAAATAAGTAAAGCCAGGTGCTGTGGCTCACACCTGTGATCCCAGAAAGTTGGGAGGCTGAGGCGGGTGGATCACCTGAGGTCAGGAGTTTGAGACCAGCCCGGCCAACATGGTGAAACCTCGTCTCTACTAAAAATACAAAAATTAGCTGGGCGTGGTGGTGCACACCTGTAATCCCAGCTATTCAGGAGGCTGAGGCAGGAGAATCACTTGAACCCAGGAGGCGGAGCTTGCAGTGAGCCAAGATCACGCCACTGCACTCCAGCCTGGGCAACAGAGTGAGACTCCGTCTCAAAAAAAAGGAAATGTCCAAGTACCATTAGAAGTGAAAAAAAGAAGAAAAAGGAAAAGGAGGCCAGGAGCCCAAAACTTTTCAAACTTTACTCTCCTGTGATCTCTATTATTAGATCTCACTTTAGGTCTCTAGAGAAAACTGGCTCAGAGAGGTTAAGTGATTTCCAAGGACACTTGGGATGGGCCAGCCTCTGTTTCCAAGGGTCCAAGGAGAGACTTGCTTCAACACATCACCATCATTGCATTTTTTTTTTTTTGAGATGGAGTCTTGCTCTATTGCCCAGGCTGGAGTGCAATGGTGTGTTCTTGGCTCACTGCAGCCTCTGCCTCCTGGGTTCAAGCAATTCTCCTGCCTCACTGCCTCAGCCTCCTGAGTAGCTGGGATTACAGGCGCATGCCACCACACCTGGCTAAATTTTTTTTTTTGAGATGGAGTCTTGCTCTGTTGCCCAGGCTGGAGGGCAGTGGTGCCATCTTGGCTCACTGCAAGCTCCGCCTCCCAGGTTCACGCCATTCTCCTGCTTCAGCCTCCCGAGTAGCTGGGACTACAGGCTCCCACCACCACGCTTGGCCGAGCCCGGGTAATGTTAGTAGAGATGGGGTTTCACCATGTTAACCAGGATGGTCTCGATCTCCTGACCTCGTGATCCGCCTGCCTCGGCCTCCCAAAGTGCTGGGATTACAGGCGTGAGCCACCCCGCCCAGCCACACCTGGCCAATTTTTATATTTTTAGTAGAGACGGGGTTTCACCATGTTGGTCAGGCTGGTCTCGAACTCCTGACCTCGTGATCCTCCCGCCTTGGCCTCCCAAAGTGCTGGGATTACAGGCGTGAGCCACCGCACCCAGCCATCATTGCATATTTTGTTCACCTTGCATTGCTCAAGTGGGAGTTTCAGTTTCCACTGGGAAGCTTTAACAGGAAATGGGTAAATCAAAACGGTGGAGATATTGGAACACTCATATATTGCTGGTGGGATTGTAAAAAAGTGCAGCCACTTTGGAAAACACTGTGGCAGTTCCTGAAAATATTAAACATAGAGCCCAGCTGGGCGTGGTGGCTCTCACCTATAATCCCAGCACTTTGGGCCGGGCACGGTGGCTCACGCCTGTAATCCCAGCACTTTGGGAGGCCGAGGCGGGCGGATCACGAGGTCAGGAGATCGAGACCATCCCGGCTAAAACGGTGAAACCCCGTCTCTACTAAAAATACAAAAAATTAGCCGGGCGTAGTGGCGGGCGCCTGTAGTCCCAGCTACTCGGGAGGCTGAGGCAGGAGAATGGCGTGAACCCGGGAGGCGGAGCTTGCAGTGAGCCGAGATCCCGCCACTGCACTCCAGCCTGGGCGACAGAGCGAGACTCCGTCTCAAAAAAAAAAAAAAAAAAAAAAAAAAATCCCAGCACTTTGGGAGGCCGAGGTGAGTGGATCACTTGAGGTCAGGAGTTCAAGACTAGCCTGGCCAACATTGTGAAACCCTGTCTCTACTAAAAATAGAAAAATTAGCCAGGCGCGGTGGTGCAACCTCAGCTACTCGAGAGGCTGAGGTGGGAGGATCACCTGAACCCAGGTCACAGAGGTTGCAGTGAGCTGAGATCCTGCTGCTACACTCCAGCCTGGGCAACAGAGCAAGACTCTATCTAAAAAACAAACAAACAAATAAACACACACACAAAAAAAACCCTTAAACATAGAGTTACCTTATTACCTAGAAATTTTTTTTTTTTTGAGATGGAGTTTCGCTCTTGTTGCCCAGGCTGGAGTGCGGCTCACTGCAACCGCTGCCTCCTGGGTTCAAGCGATTCTCCTGCCTCAGCCTCCCGAGTAGCGCCCACCACTATGCCCAGGTAATTTTTTGTATTTTTAGTAGAGATAAGGTTTCACTGTGTTGGCCAGACTGGTCTCGAACTACTGACCTCAGCTGATCCACCCACCTTGGCCTCTCAAAGGGCTGGGATTACAGGCATGAGCCACTGTGCCCGCTGACTTTTTTTTTTTTTTTTTTTTGAGCCAGAGTGGGCTCTGTCGCTCAGGCTGGAGTGCAGTGGTACAATCTTGGTTCACTGCAACCTCTGCCTCCAGGGTTCACGCCATTCTCCTGCCTCAGCCTCCAGAGTAGCTGGGACTACAGGCACCCACCACCTCGCCTGGCCGTGCCCGGCTAATGTTTGTATTTTTAGTAGAGATGGGGTTTCCCCATATTGGCCAGGCTGGTCTCGAACTCCTGACCTTGTGATCCTCCCACCTCAGCCTCCCAAAGTGGTGGGATTACAGGCATAAGCCACCACACGCAGCAGCGCCCAGGTAATTTTTTGTGTGTTTTTTGTAGAGACGAGGTTTCTCTATGTTGGCCAGGCTGGTCTCGAACTCCTGACCTTGTGATCCTCCCTCCTCAGCCTCCCAAAGTGGTGGGATTACAGGCATAAGCCACCACACGCAGCAGCGCCCAGGTAATTTTTTGTGTGTTTTTTGTAGAGACGAGGTTTCTCTATGTTGGCCAGGCTGGTCTCGAACTCTTCGCCCTCCCAAAGTGCTGGGATTACAGGCATGAACCACCGCACCCAGCCTTATCACCTAGAAATTCCTACTCCTAGGTAGAAGATTCTGCCAAAGAGAGGTGGAACCATATGCCTACAAAAAACTTGTATATAAATGTATATGAATGAGTGTTCATAGCAGTGTTATTCATAATAGTGAAAACATGGAAAACAATGTCCATGAACTGAAGAATGGATAAACAAAATGTGTCATATACATATAATGGAGTATTATTTGATAATAAAAAAGAATGAAGTGATTATACATGGTAATACACACATGAACCTTGAAAGCGTCATGCTAAGTGGAAGAAGTCAGGCTGGGTGCAGTGGCTCGGGCCTGTAATTCCAGCACTTTGGGAGACCAAGGCAGGCAGATCACCTGAGGTCAGGAGTTCGAGACCACCCTGGCCAACACAGTGAAATCCTGTCTCTACTATAAATACAAAAATTAGCCAGGCGTGGTGGTGCACACCTGTAGTTCCAGCTATTCGGGAGGCTGAGGCGCTGAGCAGCGCTTGAACCGGGGAGGCGGAGATTGCAGTGAGCTGAGATCATACCACTGCACTACAGCCTAGGCAACAGAGTAGGACACTGTCTCAAAAAAAAAAAAAAAAAAGTGGAAGAAGTCAGCCACAAAAGGCCACGTGTTGTATAATTCAATTAATTAATTAATTAATTAATTATTATTATCATTTTTTGAGATGGAATCTCCCTCTGTCGCCCAGGCTGGAGTGCAGTGGTGCAATCTCAGCTCACTGCAACCTCCACTTCCCGGGTCCAAGGGATTCTCCTGCTTCAGCCTTATGAGTAGCTGGGATTACAGGCACTCACCACCATGTCCAGCTAATTTTTGTAATTTTAGTAGAGACAGGGTTTCACCATGTTGGCCAGGCTAGTCTCAAACTCCTGACTTCAGGTGATCCACCCGCCTCAGCATCCCAAAGTACTGGGATTACAGGCGTGAGCCACCATGCCCGGCCTGAGCACAGCCTCATCTCAGTGTAGCCCAGCACGGCACCGGCAGCCAAGCTTGGCATGTTTGACTTGGTGTGAGAGTGTCTCTCAGACTCTTCTCTTCAAGGTTGCATTTTAACATTTGGCCGTATATTACTTCTGTGTGGCAAACGACTTTACGGTCATAATATACGCCTTGCTGGGCGGTCAGGCCATGGGGTGTTAAATTCATTCCAAGATAGGGAAGCCAACATCCAAAGCTGTTTCAGCAGCGCAGCCCAGCTGGGTGCTAATGGAATCAGGGTGACATCACAGGATTTCAGCAATTTAGAGCAAATGCAATTTGACCCCCCAGTGCAAAGCAGTTGGGATAGAAGGGTATGCATCCTGGGTCTGGTACCCAAACACCTGGGTTTGAATCTCAGTTCCACTACTTACTAGCTGAGTGAAAATTAAATAAGGTTATGTCTTTTAAAACCTAGCACAGTGGCCAGGCACAGTGGCTCACGCCTGTAATACTAGCACTTTGGGAGGCCGAGGTGGGCGGATCATAAGGTCAGGAGATGGAGAACATCTTGGCCAACATGATGAAACCCCGTCTCTACTAAAAATACAAAAATTAGCCGGGTGTGGTGGCGTGCACCTGTAGTCTCAGCTACTCAGGAGGCTGAGGCAGGAGAATTGGTTGAACCTGGGAGGTGGAGGTTGCAGTGAGCCAAGATTGCGCCACTGCACTCTACCCTGGGCAACAAAGGCAAAACTCCACCTCAAAAAAAACAAAACAAAACAAAACAAAAACCCTAGCACAAAATCAGTGCCATACATACAGATATTATTGGGGCGGTGGGGGGGCGGTTGTTCGGTTGGTGTTTTGGTTTTGCAATGGGGTCTCACTCTGTCGCCCAGGCTGGAGTGCAGTGGTGTGATCACAGCTTATTGCAGCCTCAACCTCCTGGGCTCAAGCAATCTTCCCACCTCAGCTTCCTGAGTAGCTGGGACTACAGGTGCATGTCACCACGCCCAGCTTACTTTATCGTTGTAGTGACAGGGTCTCCCTGTGTTGCTCAGGCTAGATGGTGTTTTATTGTTGGGTAGAAAAGAGGGCTGGACTGGGGTGTCAGCTTTGCTGTTTCCTTGCTGTGTGATCTTAAACTAGTCATTTCTCAACTCTGGGCCTGTTTCCTCATCTGTCAAAAGACAATAATGTGATAGGCCCCATCTAACTAACAAGGTTGGTTTGATGAGGCTTATCTGGCAAAATGTGTGGGGAAAACACTAGAGAAACTCGAGGGGCTTACAGGGTTATGTTGGGCAACGTGGAAAGAGAGTGACTTGCAAGATTCTGGAGATGAGAGAAGGCTCTGAGCAATGCTGAGGCTCCCGACAGAGGGGCAAAGACCCCAGCAGTCAGAGTGATTGAGGAAGCACTGCTCTTGCCCAAGAGAAACCCCTCCACCTCGAAGTCATTCAACCAAAGGAAATGGAGACAAAACCACAAAGCACCGTTGGGCAAGACAGGGAGGTGCCAGCAAGTGGGGCAAGAGGCTCACAGCTGAGTGCCTCCTGGTAAACAGGCTGCAAAGGGGTCATGCTGCTGGAGGCAAAATGCAGGGGAGGTAGCCCTACTGTCATTGCTGATGCCCAGGTTTAAGGTGGCTCCCAGGGGGCTAGGGGTTCCTCCTGTGCTTACAGTCCCTTCCCCCTTCAGTGGCTTCCCATGGTCTTCAAGAAGGACAATAGCAGCTAACATTTATATAGCACACAGGATGTCCCAGGCACTTTCTGAAAACACTTCCATCTATTCACTCCTGTAATCCTTGCAACAACCCTATGAGGTAGGACTTAGATTCTCTATGTTACAAATGAGGTCACTGACACACAGAGAGGCTGAGTGACTTGCACAAGATCACAGAGCTTGTAAGTGGCAGAGCTAGGCTTCAAGCCAAGGCCATCTGCCTCTAGGACCCACTTTTTTTTTTTTTTCTTTGAGATGGAATCTCACTCTGTTGCCCAGGCTAAAGTGCACGATCTCCGCTCACTGCAACCTCCATCTCCTGCGCTCAAATGATTCTCCCACCTCAGCCTCCCAAGTAGCTGAGAGTACAAGTGCCCACCGCCACACCTGGCTAATTTTTGTATTTTTAGTAGAGATGAGGTTTCACTATGTTGGCCAGGCTGGTCCCGAACTCCTGACCACAGGTAATCCACCCACCTTGGCCTCCCTAAGTGCAGGGATTACAGGCCTGAGCCACCGCACCCAGCCCCCAGGACCCACTTTCTTGGCAACTCCTCTGCTTTTTAGCCTTGAGATGGGGATGACTGGTCAGAGCCTGGCCTGAGAGCCAAGTAGCAAAGGGATTAGGGATAGGTGTGGTTTTTAGAATCTTAATAATAATAATAATAGTAATAGTCATAAGAACTACTAATCCAACTGTCCTTGTTGATGGCATCAGTCCAGCATGGGCACCGGAGGTCTGAGGGCTCAGGGCCACCCAGCGATTCCATGTGTGTGGCCTAATTAGTTACATTCCAATAGCAACCCTCAGGGCAAACCACTCGTGCCAGACTCTGTAGTGGGTGCTTTACCCATAGCAGCATCAAAAACAGCATTTTGGCCGGGCATGGTGGCTCAAGCCTGTAATCCCAGCACTTTAGGACGCTGAGGCTGGCAGATCACTTGAGGTCAGGAATTCGAGACCAGCCTGGCAGATGTGGTAAAACCCTATCTCTACTAAAAATACAAAAATTAGCCAGGCGTGGTGGTGCACACCTGTAATCCCAACAATTTGAGAGGCTGAGGCAGTCAGATCACCTGAGGTCAGGAGTTTGAGACCAGCCTGGCCAACATGGTGAAACCCTGTCTCTACTAAAAATACAAAAATTAGCTGGGCATGGTAGTCTGTGCCTGTAATTCCAGCTACTCAGGAGGCTGAGGCACAAGCATCACTTGAACCTAGAGGAGGCAGAGGCTGCAGTGAACCGAGATCATGCCACTGCACTCCAGCCTGGGTGACAGAGTGAGACTCTGCCTCAAATAATAATAATAATAATAATAATAATAATAATAATAATAATAGGCTGGGCATAGTGGCTCATGCCTATAATTCCAGCACTTTGGGAGGCCGAGGCAGGCAGATCATCTGAGGTCAGGAGTTCGAGACCAGCCTGACAAACATGGTGAAACCCCGTCTCTACTAAAAATACAAAAATTAGCTGGGCATGGTGGCGCATGCCTGTAATCCCAGCTACTTGAGAGGCTGACGCAGGAGAATTGCTTGAACCTGGGAGGTGGAGGTTACAGTGAGCTGAGATCGCACCACTGCACTCCAGCATGGGCAACAAGAGTGAAACTCTGTCTCAAAAAAAAAAAAAAAAAAGAAAGAAAGAAATGGTGGCTCTTAATATCATTGTCCCTACAATACACCAGCAAGCTGGGCTTTATAACCCTACTAAAAGGGTAGAAACTGAGATTCAGGGAGATGAAGTGGCTCCTGAAGTCACAATGACAGGGACCAAAACCGGGACCAGAACCCACAGCCAGGTTCTCTTTCCTGAAATCCCCCGCTGCCTCCCTAGAGAACTCTAGCTCACTAAATATGGCTTCTAAACCCTTTGCTAACTGGTTACAGCTCAGTCTCCTGGGTAGAGGCCAGGCTGGCCGCCCCTAGAGAATCTAAGACGTCTGGACCAGTGACCATCTCCTCTCCCCTCCTCCACTGTCCAATTTAATTTCTTGTCCATTTTCTGGGCACTGAGTAGGCACATGGCTATTCCTCCTGCTCTCCCTCAAGCAGGAGCAGTTGTCCCAGTTACTACATGGCACCCTCTCTTATTTCACTGAGAACACTCTTAAAATGTCACCTCCACAAAGACGCCATCGCTAAAGCCCTACTCCAAATGAAAACCAACGTCACTCTCTAGGGCTGACCTCTTTCCCTGTTTTTTTTTTTTTGTTGTTTTTGTTTTGTTTTGTTTTGTTTCAGTTGAGTCTCACTCTTGTTGCCCAGGCTAGAGTGCAGTGGCGAGATCTCGGCTCACTGCAACCTCTGCCTCCCGGGTCCAGGCGATTCTCCTGGCTCAGCCTCCTGAGTAGCTGGGATTACAGGCGCCTGCCACCAGGTTTGGCTAATTTTTGTATTTTAGTAAAAACGAGGTTTCACCATGTTGGCCAGGCTGGTCTCAAACTCCTGACCTCAGGTGATCTGCCTCCTCCATGTCCCAAAGTGCTGGGATTACATGTGTGAGCCAATGCACCCAGCCCCTTCCCTTGCTTTAGTTTTCTTCATGTCCTTGCCATGGCCTGACAAATTGCACACTGTGTTGCTTTATCCATTTACTCTTTGTCTTCACTAAAACATAAACTCCAGGAGGGCAGGAACTTTTAGGGTTAGTCCCCTGCCCTATCTCCAGTGCCTACAACAGCCCTGCATTTAATAAATGTTTGTTGATGGGCCAGGCACAGTGGCTCACGCCTGTAATCCCAGCACTTTGGGAAGCCGAGGCAGGCAGATCACGAGGTCAGGAGATCGAGACCATCCTGGCTAACACAGTGAAACCCCGTCTCTACTAAAAATTACAAAAATAATAATAATTAAAAAATTAAAAACAAAAAATGTTTATTGAATCAATAAATGACACTGAGCCAAGGCTGTGAAGCTGTGCTGATGAACCATCTGGGACTGTAGGGGACTGTCTTGGTGACATTCTAAGAAGTACTCTTACACAAGTACAAACTAATTGTCCTGGAAGTACAGGGAAGGCAGAGATCAGTTCTGACCTCTGGGCAGGGACGAGGAGGCCTCTGAGTGATCCCTTTAGGCTGGGTGAAACTTCAAAGGTGGCAATATAATGAGAGAGAGAATCTCATGTGGAAGGAATGGCAAGGGCAGTCAAGGGCAAAGCTGTTTCCAGGGGCAGAAAACCGGGTTAGGGAGACCAATCCATGTGGCTTTGGGTTTAGGGTTGATAAGCAGGTGAGGAGGAGGCTAGGGCAGGTTGCAGAGGGCTTTGAATGCCAGGTTGTTTGGAGTTTACAAGTCTCTGATAGTGTCCTAAGAAGAGCAATCTGTATCTATATATCATCAATATCTATATCTATCCATATACACATATACACATAATAAAAACACACGTGTGTTTATTTATTTGAGACAGGGTATCACTCTATTGCCCAGGCTGGAGTGCAGTGGTGCAATCTCAGCTCACTGCAACCTCCGCCTCCCAGGTTCAAGCGATTCTCTTGCCTCAGCCGCCCAAGCAGCTGGGATTAGAGGCGCGCACCGCCATGCCCGGCTAATTTTTTTTAGTAGAGACAGGGGTTCGCCATGTTGGCCAGGCTGGTCTCGAACTCCTGGCCTCAAGTGATCCGCCAGCCTCGGCCTCCCAGAGTGCTGGGATTACAGGCGTGGGCCACCGCGCCCGGCCTTTTAATGTATAATAGCCTTTTAATAGGCTCCCATGATTCAGTTGGGGCATAAAAGATTTTACAATGAAAATCTCCTTTCCACTTGTATTCTCACGGCCCCCGCCAGGGAAATTTGCCCACCCGGAGAAGTAACCAACGTCCTTATGTTTTGTGTCCTGCTCCAGCCGATTCATGTTTACAGCGAGTCCCTCACACCCGCCGTTTCAGGTTACATACACGGGCGGTGCAGCGGAGAGCGCGGCGGCGAAGTTTCAGGCCCCTGCCCAGCCCCACTCGCCGCAGCCAGGTAGCCCCTCCACCCTTCCTGCCCGGAAGTCCTGCGCGCTCCACCCAAGGACAGGTGGGTTAGCCAGGGCACGCCCACTTCCGTCTCATTAGCCTATCGAATACGTTATGCAAATTGACACACGACCCCGCGCCTCACGACAACCAATGGTTGCGGAGGCGCCGCAGGTCGCCCAGGTTCCCGTTCTCAGGATGCTCTGGGAGCTCTGCCACGTTTCTGCTGTGGCAGGAAGAACTGAAATTCCAGAAGCCGGAGAAACAAGCCGCCGTCAAGACTGCTGAAGCGAGGCCTACGGCCCTGTAATCACACAAGCTCAGGCTTCACGGAAGCTGGAGGCCATGTCGCCTGATCCCCGGGCTGACCCCTTCCCTCCCTCCGCGTAGTTCCTGCCAAGCTCCAGGTGCCCGGTGCCCACGTAGTCTCGGTGAACGCAGAGAAATCACTGCAGATGTAGCCACGCTTCTCTGAGTTAAGGACTCGGCGTCCGCAGGAGAGCCAAGGCCTCGCTGCTGGGGGTCAGAGCCTCTCAGAGAACAAGAGGCAAGTCCAAGTTCTGCCTCCACCACTTGTTAGCTATGCGACTTTGGGCAATCCGCGTCACCTTTCCAAGCCTCATTTTCCTCATCTGGAAAATAGGAATAATAACACTGCCCTCCCAGCTACGATATGAGGACCAATGGCTAGTCAAATGGAAAACACGAGGGTCTTTGCAAGCCATTGTGCTTGGTGGTTAAGAGTATCACTTCGGTTAGACAGATTTGAATTCAAATCCTGCTTTTCCCAGTTACTTGTGTTCCAACCTTAAGCAAATCACTTACTTTATCTTCTGATTCTCACTTTCTTCAACTGTAAAGAATTCCATGGGCTGTTGTTAGGATTAAATGAGTTAAGGTTTATTGATTGAGACAGGATCTCTGTCACCCAAGCTGGAGTGCAGTGGCACAAACACAGCTGACTGCAGCCTCAACCTCCCAAGCTCAAGCGATCCTCCTGCCTCAGCCTCCCAAGTAGCTGGAACTACAGGCATGCACCACCACACCTGGCTAATTTTTTTCTTATTTTTGTAGAAATTGAGTCTTACTAGCTGGGCGCAGTGGCTCACACCTGTAATCCCAGCACTTTGGGAGGCCGAGGCGGGCAGATCACGAGGTCAGGAGATTGAGACTATCCCGACTAACACAGTGAAACCCCGTCTCTACTAAAAATATAAAAAAAAGAAAAAAAAATTAGCCGGGTGTGGTGGTGGGCAACTGTAGTCCCAGCTACTGGGGAGGTTGAGGCAGGAGAAAGGCGTGAACCCGGGAGGCGGAGCTTGCAGTGAGCCAAGATCGCACCACTACACTCCAGCCTGGGAGACAGAGCGAGACTCCGTCTCAAAAAAAAAAACAAAACAAAAAACAAAGAGAAATTGGGTTCTTACTGTGTTGCCCATGCTGGTCTTGAACTCCTGGGTTGAAGCAATCCTCCCACCTGAGCCCCACAAAGTACTGGGATTACAAGTGTGAGCCACTGTGCCCAGCCTGAGTTAAGGTTTTCAAAGCACTTGGCACAAAGCCAGGCCACGTGTGGTAGCAGAACCATGGCACCTCCTGGAAGCTGGTTTCATCTCATCAGCTGTCTTCTGGATACGATATTGTTTGCCCTGCCTGCCACATAGGATTGTCATGAGTTGTAAATGACTTATGACACGTTTATAAACAGAAAAACATTACACCAATGTTAGTTAGTGGTATGGTGAGGCAGCCAGCACACTGGAAAAAGCATGACCTTGGCCCTGGCTGGGCCTTTTATTTACTGTGTGACCTTGGACGGATGATTTCACCTGCTGAATTGGTATTATGAGAATATATTCTTTTTTACCTAGCCTGGGCAACAAAGCAAGACCTTGTCTCTACCAAAAAATTTTTTAAAAATTAGCTGGGCATGGTGGCATGCACCTGTAGTCCCAGCTACTTGGGAGGCTGAGGTGGGAGGATCGCTTGAGCCTGGGAGTTGGAGGCTGCAGTGAGCTATAATCACACCCCTGCACACCAGTCTGAGTGAGAGTGAGACCTTGTCTCAAAATACATATATATATACACACACGCACACACACATCACATATATACATACATATATATATTCTTTTTAGAGATATAGAATTTAAATTGAAATGTAATACATTATTTAAAACATAATAAGTAATAAAAAGGCTGGGCACAGTGGCTCACACCTGTAATCCCAGCACTTTGGGAGGCCGAGGTGGGCGGATCACAAGGTCAGAAGATCGAGACCATCTTGGCCAACAGGGTGAAACCCCGTCTCTACTAAAAATACAAAAATTAGTCGGGCATGGTGGTGTGTACCTGTAGTCCCAACTACTCGGGAGGCTGAGGCAGGGGAATCGCTTGAACCCGGGAAGTGGAGGTTGCAGTGAGTTGAGATCGTGCCACCACACTCCAGCCTGGCGACAGAGGAAGACTCCATCTCAAAAAAAAAAGTAATAAAAATATATAATCTGAAATTATTTTTCAGCCGGGCATGGTGGCTTATGCCTGTAATCCCAGCACTTTGGGAGGCCGAGGCGAGCGGATCACGAGGTCAGGAGTTCGAGACCAGCCTAACCAACATGGTGAAACCCCGTCTCTACTAAAAATACAAAAATTAGCTGGGCGTGGTGGTGTGCGCCTGTAATCTCAGCTACTTGGAAGGCCGAGGCGGGAGCATTGCTTGAACCCGGGAGGCGGAGGTTGTGGTGAGCTGAGATCGTGCCATTGCACTCCAGCCTGGGCAATAAGAGCGAAACTCTGTCTCAAAAGAAAAAAAAAAAAAAGAAATTATTTTTCAACTTCATAGGTCAAGGCCTCCTCCCCTGGGGTAAGGAGAAGCCCAAATGCAAAGTTTACCCTGTTGTCTACATGCTAGAATTTACCATGGAAAACCAGAGTCATGGTTTTTCCTAAGATCAATGGGGAAAATGTCCAAACCCTAACAAGGGTCACCTCTGAATGGAGTGGCCACTCATTGCTGTCAGCATTCTCAAAGCCGCTCTGAAGTCATGGTCTATGGAGGGAAATGACCTCGGTTTGGAAGCCCTCGGGCTGGAGTTCCCTCAGCATCAGAGGTATCCAGGGACGCTGGGTGAGTCACTCCTCCCCAGTGGACTTGCCCTTCAACCTTGATGAGGACGAACACCTCATTAAGGAGCAATAGCTCTCCCCTCACCTTAATGCCTTACATGGGGTTGGCGTAGCCCCGGGCCATCCTGCCAATCCACTGTGAGACTTCTCCAGCTGTCCTAGGATGCCTCTGGCCTTGGACAGCCTTCCTGTTCTTCCTCCTCTGGGGCCCACAGTCTGATCCTGACCCCCACCATTCTTCATTGCAGACTCTCATCCAGCTGGAGAAAGGAGGGGTGGGAGAATGCCAAGGCCCAAGCCCACTTTCTCTGCTGTGCCCACCATCACGTCTTCGCTGCGTGTGGCAAGTGCCCCTGCAGTACAGGGCTGCTGTACAAATCATTCATCAAGGCAGGCGAGAGAGAGACTGACATCTGGGGTATAGGCTTTTAACTACCTCATCCTGGAAGTGACATATGTCACTTTCACTGCCATATCATTAGCCAGACCTAGCCACAGGCCCACCCATGAAAGGATCTACAGGGGCCAGGCACAGTGCCTCATGCCTGTAATGCCAGCACTCTTGGAGGCAGAGGCTGGTGGATCACCTGAGGTCAGGAGTTCAAAACCAGCCTGGCCAACATGGCAAAAAACCATCTCTACTAAATATACAAAAATCAGCCGGGGTGGTTGCAGGCGCCTGTAGTCCCAGCTACTTGGGAGGCTGAGGCAGGAGAATCGCTTGAACCCGGGAGGCAGAGGTTGCAGTGAGCCGAGATCTCGCCATTCCACTCCAGCCTGGTGACAGAGTGAGACTCTGTCTCAAAAAAAAAAAAAAAAAAAAAGCTGAGCGCAGTGGCTCACGCCTGTAATCCCAGCACTTGGGGAGGCCGAGGCAGGCGGATCACGAGGTCAGGAGATCGAGACTATCCTGGCTAACACAGTGAAACCCCATCTCTACTAAAAATACAAAAAATTAGCCGGGTATGGTGGCGGGCACCTGTAGTCCCAGCTACTACTTGGGAGGCTGAGGCAGGAGAATGGCATGAACCTGGGAGGCGGAGCTTGCAGTGAGCCAAGATCATGCCACTGCACTCCAGCCTGGGCGACAGAGCAAGACTCCTCCTCAAAAAAAGAAAAAAAAGAAAGGATACAGGGCAGGGCTGGGCATTTCGTGAGCACTGTGGTCTGCTTGTCTCAATTGAGATCTTTTTTTTTTTTTCGAGATGGAGTTTCGCTCTGTCGCCCAGGCTGGAGTGCAGTGACTTGATCTCAGCTCACTGCAACCTCCACCTCCTTAGTTAAGTGATCCTCTTGTCTCAGCCTCCTAAGTAGCTGGGATTACAGGCAAGTACCACCATGCCCGGTGAATTTTTTTTATTTTTAATAGAGACAGGGTTTTGCCATGATAGCCATGGTTGGTCTCAAACTTGTGACCTCAAGTGATCCACCTGCCTCGGCCTCCCAAAGTGCTGGGATTACAGGCCACTGCACCCGGCCAACAGTCGGGATCTTTCTGCTCAGCCTTTCAGCCAACATTGATTGACTCCAGAATTAGAGGCCATTAGAGTGGGAAGGACCTTGGGAACCATCTCAGCCAGTGAACTCCAAAATTAAAATCACATCAGGCTGGGCACTGTGGCTTATGCCTGTAATGCCAGCACTTTGGGAGGCCGAGGTGGGCAGATCACCTGAGGTCAGGAGTTCGAGACCAGCCTGGCCAACATGGTGAAACCCCGTCTCTACTAAAAATACAAAAAATTAGCCAGGCATGGTGGCAGGCGCCTGTAATCCCAGCTACTCGGGAGGCTGAGGCAGGATAATCGCTTGAGTCCAGGAAGCAGAGGTTGCAGTGAGCCGAGATCGCACCACTGCACTCCAGCTTGGGCAACGGAGTGATCATCTTAAAAAAAAAAAGAAAAGAAGAAAAACACAACAACAAACAATCAGAATCCTCTGGGGTTGTTGTCAAAAATGCAGAGTCCTTGGTCCTACCCCAGACCAGCTGAATCAAAATGTCTAGGATGGGACCAGAGAATTTACTTTTTTTTTTTTTTTTTCGTAGAGGAGAGGTCTCACTATGTTGCCGAGGCTGGTCTTGAACTCCTAGGCTTGAGGGATCCTCCTGCATGGGCCTCCCAGAGTGCTAGGATTACAGATGTGAGCCACCACACCTGGCTGAATTTACATTTTTAAAAGCTCACCAGGCGATTTTAGCAACAGCTTGGTTTGGGACCCAGTGATAGAGTCAAACTCTCTTTTACAGATGAGAAAACCAAAGCTCAGAAAGGGTCAGTGACTTCCTCAAGGCCACGAAGAGAGTAAATGATAGAGCTTGGATCACAATCCCAGCTTCCTGGCCAGGGCTCATAACACCTGTAGCTGTCACCTGTTGCCTCTGCCCACCCAGTGTCATACCCGTCTCCTGACAACAGCATGTCCCCTTTCCCTTTGGGGAGTCACCAGCCTCCCATACTCAACTCCCATGAGTCAAGCTGGGCCGATCCTTTTTCTCAAGTCTGGAGTGGGCACATGACTTCGGCCTAACCAATCAGGATCCCAGGAGTATGTTCCAGGATGGTCTTGCGATCAAGTCCAGAGATGGAAGTAGCCCCAGGCTATTTGCTGGAACAAGTTAGAGAAAGAAGCTCTCTTTCTTTCTTTTTTTCTTTTCTTTTTTTTCTTTCTTTTTTTTTTTTTTTTTTTTTTTTTGAGACAGAGTTTCACTCTTGTTGCCCAGGCTGGAGTGCAATCGTGCGATCTCTGCTCACTGCAACCTCCGCCTCCTGGGTTCAAGCGATTCTCTTGCCTCAGCTTCCTGAGTAGCCGGGTTTACAGGCATGCACCACCACGCCTGGCTAATTTTGTATTTTTAGTAGAGACAGGGTTTCTCCATGTTGGTGAGGCTGGTCTCAAGCTCCTGACCTTAGGTGATCCATCCTCCTCGGCCTCCCAAAGTGCTAGGACTATAGGTGTGAACCACCACACCCGGTCTTTTTTCTTTTCTTTTCTTTTCTTTTCTTTTGTTTTCTTTTCTTTTCTTTTTTTTTTTTTTGATACAGAGTCTCACACTGTTGCCTGGGCTGGAGTGCAGTGGTGCGATCTTGGCTCACTGCAACCTGCGCCTCCCAGGTTCAAGCGATTCTCCTGCCTCAGCCTCCCGAGTAGCTGGGACTACAGGTGCCCGCCACCACGCCTGGCTAGTTTTTGTATTTTTAGTAGAGATGTGGTTTCACTATGTTGGCCAGGCCGGTCTTGAACTCCTGACCTCATGATTTGCTCACCTCGGCCTCCCAAAGTGCTGGGATTACAGATGTGAGCCACTGTGCCTGGCCAAGATTTCTTTTTTTTCTTTTGAGATGGAGCCTTGCTCTATCACCCAGGCTGGAGTGCAATGGCACGATCTCAGCCTCACTGCAACCTCTGCCTCCTGGGTTCGAGCAATTCTTCCACCTCAGGCTCCCGAGTAGCTGGGATTACAGGCACCCACCATCATGCCCGGCTAATTTTTGTATTTTTGTAGAGATGGGGTTTCACCATGTTGGCCAGGCTGGTCTTGAACTCCTCACCTGGTCTTGAACAGGTGATCCACCCGCCTCGGCTTCCCAAAGTACTGGGATTACAGGAGTGAGCCACCTCGCCTGGCCAGATGCTCTCTTTCCCCTAAGGTTGCTAATTGGCCTGATGTGAACCTGGATGGAGCAGCTGGTGGTCTTTGCCGTCATGTTGGGAGAAACTGCCTGAAAATAAATCCTGCACAGAGGAGAGCAGGGCTGAGGGACAGAGTCCTGACAGTATCATCTGGACTCCTGCACCCAGCTCCACCTGGACTTTTATTTATTATTATTATTTATTGCCAACCAATAAATTCCCTTTCAGTTCCCCCATGTTGGGGTTCTGCCCTTGCAACATCAAACAGCTGGGGACAGAGTGCCAGGATTCAGAGCAGCACTGGTCAGACACCAAGTGTCCATTGAGGGGCTGCGGGGAAAAGTTGAGTGCAAAATGCTGATTCTGCCTTTCACAAGCCAGGGACACAGGCAGCAAGGGGTGCCTAGGACACTGTTCTAGAGCAGCATCGTAGACATCCAGGCTCTCATTTGATCTCGTCCCCAAAAAATAAGCAGAGGAAGCATAATCATCTCGGAATGATGAGGAATCCATGGCTCAGAGAGATGAGGTCACTTGCCCAAGGCCACACAGGAAGTGGCAGAGCTGAGGTTTAGCCCAGGTGTTTTCAAGTCTCAGCCAGGGCGCTTGGTGTTCCTTTGGCCACTCCCCATGGGGCTGAGTTCTGCCTGGAATCACAGCCAATATCTGCTGAGTGCCTGCCATGTGCCGGGAACCACGTAAGCACTTTACATGTTTTTTTCTTTGTTTGAGACAGAGTCTCACTCTGTTGCCCAGGCCGGAGTACAATGGCACGATCTCGGCTCACTGCTACCTCTGCCTCCTGGATTCAAGCAGTTCTGCTGTCTCAGCCTCCCCAGTAACTGGAATTACAGGCACCCACCACCACGCCCGACTCATTTTTGTATTTTTAGTAGCGGCAGGGTTTCACCATGTTGGCCAGGCTGGTCTCAAACTCCTGACCTCAGGTGATCTGCCCGCTTCAGCCTCCCAAATTGCTGGGATTTCAGGCATGACCACCGCACCTGGCCACTTTACCTGTTTTATTTTCTAATTTTAATTAATTAATTTTTTTTTTGAGACAGTGTCTCACTCTGTCACTCAGGCTGGAGTACAGTGTCATGATCAAGACTCACTGCAGCCTTGGCCTCCCAGGCTCAGGTGATCCTCCCACCTCAGCCTCCCGAGTAGCTGGGACCATGGGTGTGCACCACCATGCCCACTAATTTTTGTATTTCTTGTAGAGATGGGGTTTTGCCATGTTGCCCAGGCTGGTACTTTTATTTTATTTTATTTATTTATTTATTTTTGAGAAGGAGTCTCTCTCTGTCACCAGGCTGGAGTGCAGTGGCGCGATCTCGGCTCACTGCAACCTCTGCCTCCCGGGTTCAAGCGATTCTCCTGCCTCAGCCTCCCGATTAGCTGGTACTACAGGCGCCTGCCACCACGTCTGGCTAATTTTTGTATTTTTAGTAGAGACGGGGTTTCACCGTGTTGGCCAGGCTGGTCTCAATCTCTTGACCTTGTGATCCACCCGCCTCAGCCTCCCAAAGTGCTGGGATTACAGGCGTGAGCCACCGCGCCCGGCCTGGTACTTTTATTTTTTAATAGCGACTGGGGGCCGGGCGCGGTGGCTCACGCCTGTAATCCCAGCACTTTGGGAGGCTGAGGCAGGTGGATCACGAGGTCAGGAGATGGAGACCATCCTGGCCAACACGGTGAAACCCCGTCTCTACTAAAAATACAAAAAAAATTAGCCGGGCGTGGTGGCAGGCACCTGTAGTCCCAGCTATTCGGGAGGCTGAGGCAGGAGAATGGCGTGAACCGGGAGGCGGAGATCGCGCCACTGCACACCAGCCTGGGCGACAGAGTGAGACTCCATCTCAAAAAAAAAAAAAAAAAATAGCGACTGGGTGTCACTATGTTGCCTACATTGGTCTCAAACTCCTCGGTCTCCCAAAGCGCTGGGATTGATGTAGGAGGTGGGACTCGACTCTGGAGGTGGGGCTCACACATTGAACCAAATCAAGGACTAGCTAGGCTGGGCGCTGTGGCTCAAGCCTGTAATCCCAGCACTTTGGGAGGCTGAGGCGGGTGGATCACGAGGTCAGGAGTTCGAGACCAGCCTGGCCAACCTGGTGAACCATCATCTCTACTGAAAATAAAAAAATTAGCCAGGCATGGTGACGGGTGCCTGTAGTCCCAGCCTCTCGGGAGGCTGAGGCAGGAGAATAGCTTGAACTCGGGAGGCAGAGGTTGCAGTGAGCCGAGACCATACCACTGCACTTCAGCCTGGGTGACAGAGCGAGACTCTCTCTCAAAAAAAAAAAAAAAAAAAAAAAGAGAAAAAGAAAAGGAAGAACAGAAGAACAGAAGAGAAAGGGCACCCCACACACATCCATTCCTCTCTTCCTCCGTTAAACCGGAGCCAGGGGCTGGGGCTGGGTGTGTGTGCTCCTGCCTTCCCAGGCTCTTGCTTGTTTTCAAAGGACCAGAGAAATGTCTGGAGGACTGCTGCTTCAGTCCACGTGACCAGGATGAAAGTCATTAACAAAAGGCCAATGTTTGGGGAAGAGCCTTTGCCCTCCTTTCAGGGCCTCAGCTGGGGCTCAGGGAGATAAGGCGGGAGCAAAAATAAAACTGAAAATGTGTTTACTCTGAGATGAAAGTGCATTGCTAAACGCTAGCCGCGAGGACTTGTATACAAAAACCACATGTCTGGGGGTGTTCTGGAATGTCACAAACTGCAATGGCAAGAAAAGGCAGCAGGCAGGACCAGGACTCTGCTCCGTGGGAGCCCCCTCTGGTGCCCTGGCTCTGTCACCTCCTAGGGTCTGTGATCTCTCAAACCGGACCTCAGACAGCCTGAGCAGCCCACCCAGCCACGTGAGCCACCGTGCCCAGCCTGATTTCTTTCTTTCTTTTGTTTTCTTTCACTTTTTAAACAGAGACCAGCAGGCCAGGTGCGGTGCCTCACGCCTATAATCCCAGCACTTTGGGAGGCTGAGGCAGGTGGATCACCTGAGGTCAGGAGTTTGAGACTAGCCTGGCCAAGATGGTGAAACCCCATCTCTACTAAAAATACAAAAAATTAGCTGGGCGTGGTGGCGGGTGCCTGTAGTCCCAGCCACTCGGGAGGCTGAGCCGAGATCGCACCACTGCACTCCAGCCTGGGAGACAGAATGAGACTCCGCCTCAAAAAAAAAAAAAAAAATTAGCCTGGCGTGGTGGTGGGTGCCTATAATCCCAGCTACTCGAGAGTCTGGGGCAGGAGAATTGCTTGAACCCGGGAGGCAAAGGTTGCAGTGAGCTGAGATAGCGTCATTGCACTCCAGCCTGGGCAACAGAGCGATACTCCGTCTCAAAAAAAAAAAAAAAAAAAGCCATGAGTGAGTTACTCTTGCGAGCAGCCCTCTCGAGCTGGAGTTTGACTCCTGGAAGATGGGATGCCACTGTGACTGAGCAAACATAGGAATAGCTGTTCCACTAAAGTCTCACAAAGCCACTGGCCGGAGGAATTTCTCTAGGGACTCCCAGGAGCAGCTGAGGAAACATGAAGGAGTGGACATTCCCAGAAGCCAAAGAAAAGTCGTTTGGTTACAGAGACTGGTGTCTGTGTTCTTCTAGAAAACATGGGCTCTGCTGAGATCAGGGAAGACTCTGACAGGAGCCACCAGGCAGAATCCTCCAGACAGACTAGAATGAGTACAAAGGAGAACAGAACAGCTGTTGCTGGGCGTTTGGACTGAACAGACCTTTCTCACGTGTTGTTTTTATTTATTTATTTGGAGAGAGTCTTGCTCTGTTGCCCAGGCTATAGTGCAGTGGTGAGAACTTGGTTCACTGCAACTTCCACCTCCTGAGTTCAAGCTATTCTCCTGCCTCAGCTTCCTGAGTAGCTGGAATTACAGGAGTGAGCTACCATACCTGGCTAATTTTTGTATTTTTAGCAGAGACGGGGTTTCAGCATGTTGGCCAGGCAGGTCTCAAGCTCCTGGCCTCAAGGGATCCACCCGCCTCGGCCTCCCAAAGTGCTGGAATTATAGGCATGAGCCACCACACCCAGCCTGTTATTATTTTTTAATTTGAGATAAAACAGAAGCCATGTACCTTTGAATTATTCTAACCAAAAGTCTCCTGTTGGGACTTACACAGAACCACTAACTGTCAAGTGTCTGCTGGAAGCCTCAGTTTCCTCATGTGTAAAGTGGGGAAAATAATAGTGCCTGCCTCCTAGGACTTAAAGTTGTTTGTGAGAAATGCTTAGTGCTGGGCATGGTGGCTCATGCCTCTAATGCCAGGGCTTTGGGAGGCCAAGGTGGGAGGATTGCTTGAGACCAGGATTCTGAGACCAGCCTGAGAAACATAATGAGACCCTATCTCTACAGATTTTTTTTCCATGAGGCATTTTATTTGTAAATATGTGTATTACATCCCTAGAAAAAGAATCCCAGGATTTTCCCTCCTGTGTGGTTTTGTCTTGCTTCTTCATGGTCCATGATGCCAGCTGAGGTTGTCAGTACAATGAAACCAAACTGGCGGGATGGAAGCAGATTATTCTGCCATTTTTCTAGATCTTTGAGTTGCACATCAAATCTGGGGCTGATCACTCCACACTTGTTGAGCCTGCCTGTGACAGTCACAACAATTTTCCCAGCTCTGTGACCATCAATGATTTCAAATTCGCCAGTGTAATCATGCTTTATCATCACAGTGAGAAATCGGACGATGACTTTGGAGCATGGCCTAATAAGCACCTGGCGTTTGCCTCTCTTTTTGGCATTGTTGATGCTCTTGAGGGCATCAGCCAGGGGCCAGGCGCAGTGGCTCACGCCTGTAATCCCAGCACTTTGGGAGGCCGAGGCAGGCGGATCACAAGGTCAAGAGATAGCGACCATCCTGGCTAACACAGTGAAACCGCGTCTCTACTAAAAATACAAAAAATTAGCTGGGCGTGGTGGCAGGTGCCTGTAGTCCCAGCTACTCAGGAGGCTGAGGCAGGAGAATGGTGTGAACCCAGGAGGCGGAGTTTGCAGTGAGCTGAGATCGTGCCACTGCACTCCAGCCTGGGCGACAGAGCGAGATTCCATCTAAAAAAAAAAAAATTAAAAAATAATAATAATAATAATAATTTTTTTTCCTCCAAAAAGCACTTTGCAGAGAACCTCAGCAAGGCTGAAAAAAATAAAAATAAAATAAAAATAGGCCGGGCGCAGTGGCTCACGCCTGTAATCCCAGCACTTTGGGGGGCCAAGGTGGGCGGATCACCTGAGGTTGGGAGTTCAAGACCAGCCTGACCAACATGGAGAAACCCCTTCTCTTCTAAAAATACAAAATTAGCCAGGTGTGGTGGCTCATGCCTGTAATCCCAGCTACTTGAGAGGCTGAGGCAGGAGAATCGCTTGAACCTGGGAGGCGGAGGTTGCAGTGAGCCGAGATCGTGCCACTGCACTCCAGCCTGGGCAACAAGAGCAAAACTCTGTCTCAAAAAATAAATAGATAAATAAATAATAAAAAATAAAAAAGTGCTGGACACCCAGACTGCAGACCTAGTTTCTGGCTTCTACTCTTGATTCTTTTCTTAACTCGCTGGCAAGCCTGAGGCAAATCCCTTGTCACCTCTAGGATTCTACTAGCACGTCTGCGAAATGGGTGTTGTTGCCTTACGACATAGGTTTTCAAACATGTATGTTTCACAGTGAAACCCTTTGTGCAAAAAAAAAATCTTAGGCTAGAAGCCGGCACTGTTAGGACTCCAGTATTTTGAACCCTGGTGGGACTTACATCTGCCAGCACCGGTGACACTTTGCTGAAGGGCTCGACTCGAGCTCAGGAGGCTGCAAGTGCTGAGGACGTAATGCCCTTTGGGAGCAGCTCTCAACTTAGCCTGTGCTCGCTCAACGCTTGGGCAAATAACTGGGAGGTCCCGTTCACTAGGTAGATAGCTCCTGCTTCCCTTCTCTGTCTCACTCACCCACTCCCTTATCTAAGTTGCCTGGGATCACAGTCCAAATCAACCACATGTACTCAAATTTTTGTCTCTGATCTGCTTCTGCTTCAAACCAAGTTAGGATCCCCAAATGCAAAACAAGTACCAGCTATGGTCCCAGGAGGCAGGCGGGTCAGTGAGGGCTGAGCTGTGCAAGGCGGGTCAGTGAGGGCTGAGCTGTGCAGGGGCCTTCCCCAGGGGTGGGCCTGCACATGGGCCTTGAGCAATAGATTACTTTATTATTTATTTGTTTATTTATTTTTATTTATTTATTTATTGAGATGGAGTTTTGCTCTTGTTGCCCAGGCTGAAGTGCAATGCTGCGATCTTGGCTCACTGCAACCTCCACCTCCCGGAGTCAGACAATTCTCCTGCCTCAGTCTCCCAAGTAGGTGGGATTACAGGCGTGTGCCAGCACACTCAGCTAATTTTGTATTTTTAGTAGAGACAAGGTTTCACCATGTTGGTCATGGCTGGTCTTGAACTCCTGACCTCAGGTGATCCACCCGCCTCGGCCTCCCAAAGTGCTGGGATTACAGCCGTAAGCCACAGTGTCTGGCCTCAATAGGATACTTTAACAAGGAAAGGATTGACCAAAACATGGTTAGGTTGGGCGAGTAGGGTGGGGAAGGAAGGGACTAAACAGAAAAGCCCAACTAGAGAGGGAAGCTCATGAGCTGAGACACCCGGTGGTGGGACCCTGACTTGACAGTGCTCTGTCCCATCCTCCATGGTGACCAGGTTGCTCAGTTGCAGTGCTCTCCATATCTTCCCTTTTCACCCAAGACTATGTTCCTCTTTTGACCAAGAAAGTAGCCCAAAAGGGATTGTGGTCACTTTCTTATCAGGCCTGTGGTGGAGGCAGAGGATACACGTCAGGCCTTTCCCAGGCCCACGGCCCCAAGCAACTCCTCCAAGGATGACATCCCGGCTCTGCCAGGGCCACTGCAGGACACCTTCCAAACTCTGAGCCGGACGAGGGAAGGAGCTCCATGCAGTGTCCTGCGATTCAGGCCCGATGCACAGTGGGCAGCCTGTTCCTAGGGAGTGGGCACTGGGAAGGGAGTCCAGCTGCTGACTTACGGCATGGCCTCACCCAAGAGTCTTTATCCTGAACTTCTTCAGAATTTCCTCCTGAATTTCTTCAACAACATCCACACATCAAGATCATGGGACAGGATATGTGAAAGAGCTTCATGAACCACAAACCATAAACAATCGTGCAATTCAGCTGCAAGTTATTATTCCAAAGGCTTCTGGGGGGCAAAGCCCTGTCCTTATTCCACATTGTGTCCCAGAGCCTGGCACAGGGCCTGATGAATGGCAGGAGCTCAGGCTTTGCTTGTTGAATGAATGAATGAATGAGGGAATGAATGACAGAGTGGATATGTCATCCAGTTTGACAATTCAATCCAACCAACTATCGCTGAGGGCCTACTATGTGCAGGAGCTGGGCTGGGCACTGAGGAAAATCACAAATAACAGATGGGGTTTTTTTTTTTTTTTTTTTGAGACGGAGTTTCACTCTTGTTGCCCAGGCTGGAGTGCAGTGACGCGATCTTGGCTCACCGCAACCTCCGCCTCCTGGGTTCAAGTGATTCTCCTGCCTCAGCCTCCCCAGTAGCTGGGATTACAGGCTCCTACCACCATCCCTGGATAATTTTTGTATTTTTAGTAGAGATGAGGTTTCTCCATGTTGGCCAGGCTGGTCTTGAACTCCTGACCTCAGGTGATCCACCCGCCTCAGCCTCCCAAAGTGCTGGGATACAGGTGTGAGTCATCGTGCCCTGCTTAAATTTCAGTTTCTTTAAGCCAACTGAGTCAAGTTTCTGTCATTTGCAAAAGATAAAGTCCTGATTAACACACTTAAGTTTACGGATGTAATTCAGTAACACCCCTTCTCAGGGATGCCTACCCTGAACACCACGTGGCTCCTCCCTGCTCCAGCACTCTCTCCTCCTACCATTTGGTTTTATCCTCTGCTTGTTGTTCCTTAGCATCTTGCGTGTGAATTGTGCCACTCCAATAAGATTTGAGGCACTGTTTAAAAACTTTGTTTTTGGCCATGTGCAGTGGTTCACGCCTGTAAACTCAGCGCATTGGGAGGCCAAAGTAGCAGGATCCCTTCAACCCAGGAGTTTGATACCAGCCTGGGCAACATGGCGAGACCCTGTCTCTACAAAAATAATAATAATAAAAAAAAATTAGCTGGGTATGGTGGAGCACGCCTGTGGTCCCAGCTATTCAGGAAGTTGAGGTGGGAGAATTGCTTCAGCCCAGGAGGTTGAGGCTAGGCTACAGTGAGCTATGATCACACCACTGCACTCCAGCCTGGGGGACAGAGCAAGACTCTATCTTAAAAAGAAAGAAAAAAAGGAAGAAAGGAGGGAGGGAGGGAGGGAGAGAGAAATTGATTCACAAGGCAAGGAAAAGAAAGAAAGAAAGAAAAAAGAAAAGAAAGGAAGGAAGGAGAGGGAGAGAGAGGAAGAAAGAGAAAGAAAGAGAGAAACAAAGATTTCAGAAGACTCTAACATAACAAAAAAAGAAGAAAGAAAAACAGAAAGAGAGAGACAAAAAGAGAAAGAAAGTGAGAGAAAGAAAAAGAAAGAGAAAAAGAGAGAAAGAAAGGTGGTTAAAGAAAGCTCAGGTGTGGGGCCAGGTGTGGGGGCTCACACCTGTACTCCCAGCACTTTGGGAGGCAGAGGGGGGCAGATCGCAAGGTCAGGAGTTCAAGAGCAGTCTGGCCAATATAGTGAAACCCCATCTCTACTAAAAATACAAAAAATTAGCCGGGCGTGGTGGCACAAGCCTGTAGTCCCAGCTACTCGGGAGGCTGAGGCAGGAGAATCGCTTAAACCCGGGAGGCAGAGGTTGCAGTGAGCCGCGATCGTACCACTGTGCTCCAGCCTGGGTGACAGAACGAGACTCCGTCTCAACAAAACAAAACAAACAACAAAAAAAGAAAGCTCAGGTGATTTTTTCAATTTCTTCTTCTTCTTCTTCTTTTTTTTTTTTTTTTTTTCCCAGAGACAGCGTTTCACGCTGTTGCCCAGGCTGGTCTTGAACTCCTGGCCTTAAGCGATCCTCCTGCCTCGGCCTCTCAAAGTGCTGGGATTACAGGAGAGGCACCGCACCGGCCTCAGGTGTTTTCTGGGCTTCTGTGCATTTCTGCTCCTCTCTGGGTTTCTGTCTATCTCTGACTCTCCCTGTGTCTCTCTCTTCCTCCCACACTCTTGCTGTCTTTCTCTGTGTAGTAACTTAATTTCCCCCTCTTGTTTCCTTTTCTCTTGTCTCTTTCTCTATGCCTCTGACTGCTCATCTTCTGTTACCTTCTGTCTCTGGTTCTCTCCTTTCTGTGTCTCACTGTATTTTTATTTATTTATTTTTTTGGTCTCTCCCAGTCTCTTCCAACTCCTTCTGCCCTTTTCCCTTCCTCTTCCTCCTCTCCCTGCCCCACTTCCTCCCTCCCCCTCCTCCTCTCTCCTCCCATCTCTTTCCCTGCCCTGTCTCCCCCTGGAGCTCCCACACAGGGACCCAGCTGGCCTCTCAGAGAGAAGAGGCTCCCTGGAGGCCCAGCAGGAAGTGCAGTTTCCCCTTTGACCTGTCAGCTGGCCACTGGGGACGCAGCTTCCCTCCCACTCCTGTCCACCAGGCAGCCTGTGAAGACTCCCTGGAGCTGGGGATAGAGTTTTGAATCTCGCCATTTGAGGGGCTCTGAAGACAGGCTTTACCCGGAGTGGGAGAGAAGGGGACTGGGCTCCAGGGGAGGAGAACCCCATTTTCACGGGGCACCTCCTGGGTGCTGGTTCTCCACCAGGTCCTGGGGAGAGGGATTGTCAAAGGCCACAGTCCCTTTCTGAGAGACAGAAAGACACAAAAGGGAAAGAGCCGGGGGATGGGGGGCAAGAGAGGTCTCTGTGGAGGCAGGGCTTCCGGGCCAGCCTGGATGAAAAGAACCACCCCCACACATTGCAGGGCTCCTAAGATATTTTTACAGGGACTGAAGACCCTTAGGAGGGGCGGTGTGTTGTCAGAAAGTGTCCAGGAGTCGGAGTCAGAGGTCCGGCTTCCGAGTGCATTTCCACCATGCTGTGTGCCACCTTGGCCATCTGGAGTAACCTCTCCCCGCCTGTTTGTGTCAGAGGCATTGGAACCACAGCCACTCCATCTTGAATAGGGGCTGGGTAAAATGAGGCTGAGACCTACTGGGCTGCATTCCCAGACGGTTAAAACATATCTCACAGGATGAGATAGGAGGTCAGCACAAGATACAGGTCATAAACACTTTGCTGATAAAACAGGTTGCAGTAAAGAAGCTGGCCCAAGGCCAGATGTGGTGGCTCACGCCTGTAATCCCAGCACTTTGGGAAGTCAAGGCGGGCAAATCACCTGAGGTCAGGAGTTCAAGACCAGCCTCACCACATGGAGAAACCCCGTCTCTACTAAAAATACAAAATTAGCCGGGCATGGTGGCACATGCCTGTAATCCCAGCTACTCAGGAGGCTGAGGCAGGAGAATCACTTGAACCTAGGAGGCAGAGCTTGCAGTGAGCCGAGATGGCACCATTACACTCCAGCCTGGGCAACAAGAGTGAAACTCCATCTCAAACAAACAAACAAACAAAAAAAGAAGCTGGCCCAAACCCACCAAAACCAAGATAGCAATGAGAGTGACCTCTGGCTGTCCTCACTACTACACTCCCATCAGCACTATGACAATTTACAAATGCCATGGCAATGTCAGGAAGTCACCCTATATGATCTAAAAAGGGGAATATGAATAATCTACTCCTTGTTTAGCGTATAATCAAGAAATATCTGTAAAAATGGGCAACCAGTGACCCTTGGGGCTGCTCTGTCTATGGAGTAGCCATTCTTATATTTCTTTACTTTCCTGATAAACTTGCTTTCACTTCACTCCCTGGACTCACCCTGAATTATTTCTTGCCTGAGATCCAAGAATCCTCTCTTGGGGTCTGGATCAGGACCCCTTTCTGGTAACATTTCTTCATGTATAAAATAGGCGTAAGCGACCTGCTTATTATAAAGGGGTACAGAGTCAAGGGAGGGAGGCGTTAAAGGAGCCAGAGGTAGCAGAGGGAACCCACACTGACTGACCTGCAGTGGCTATAAAAACTGCTATAATGGGTGGATCTCCTGAGGTCGGGAGTTCGAGACCAGCGTGGCCAACATGGTGAAACCCCGTCTTCACTAAAAATACAAAAATTAGCTGGGCGTGGTGGCATGCACCTGTAATCTCAGCTACTTGGGAGGCTGAAGCAAGAGAATTGCTTAAGCCTGGGAGGCGGAGGTTGCAGCGAGCCGATATCACTCCACTGCATTCCAGCCTGGGTGATAAACAAGAGTGAAACTCCGTCTCCAAAAAAAAAAAAAAAAAAAAAAAAACACCATAAACTTGGTGGCATCAAACAACACAAATGCGTCCTCTTATGGTTCTGGAGGTGAGAAGTCCATTGGGAACCTCACCAAGCCCGAGTAAAGTCAGCAGGGCCTTGATCCTTCTGGAGGCTCTGGAGAGAATCCACTTCCTGGTCATTTCCAGCTTCTGGGGCCATCCACCTTCCTTGGCTCCTATCTCCTTCCTCCTGGCTTCAAAGCCAGATGCCATGCTCCGTCTCCGTCTCTTTTCCTCCCTCTTCCACATTTAAGGACCCTGTGATTACATTGGGCCCACCCACGTAATCTAGGAAAATTTTCCTATTTAAGGTCAGCAACCTTAATTTCACCTACAGCCCTAATTTCCCTCTGCTATGCAACCTAACCACAGCTTCCAGGGACCAGAACCTGGACAATTTTCTGCCTACCACACCTTTCAAAGGAAGAAGGTTTTATGGGCCTGACTCAGTTTAATCTTCCCAACAAGCAGAGGTGTGTGTGGGGCTGGTAGATGCGGTGTTTAGGGCTGTTAACCCATATTACAGATGAAGAGATTAAGGTTAAGATCACACCATCATTAAGCATTGGAGCTGAAATTCAGATCCGGGTCTGACCTCACATCCCATGCTCTTCCCACCTGCAAGTTTTCTTTGAGACTTCAGGACTATAGAAAAGCAACACATTGCCGGGGGCGGTGGCTCACGCCTGTAATCCCAGCACTTTGGGAGGCCGAGATGGGCGGATCACCTGAGGTCTGGAGTTCGAGACCGGCCTGACCAACATGGAGAAACCCCATCTCTACTAAAAATACAAAATTAGCCAAGCGTGGTGGTGCATGCCTGTAATCCCAGCTACTCGGGAGGCTGAGGCAGGAGAATGGCTTGAACCCGGGAGGCGGAGGTTGCTGTGAGCCGAGATCGCGCCATTGCACTCCAGCCTGGGCAACAAGAGCAAAACTGCCTCTCAAAAAAAAAAAAAAAAAAAAAGCGGCACATTATTTAATTCACTTAATAAATTTGTAGGCCAGGTGCGGTGGTTCATGCCTGTAATCCCAGCACTTTGGAGCCGAGACAGGCGGATCACCTGAGGTTGGGAGTTCGAGACCAGCCTGACCAACATGGAGAAAGCCCGTATCTACTAAACATACAAAATTAGCCGGGCTTGGTGGCACATGCCTGTAATCCCAGCTACTTGGGAGACTGAGGCAGGAGAATCACTTGAACCCGGGAGGCAGAGGTTGTGGTGAGCTGAGATGGTGCCATTGCACTCCAGCCTGGGCAACAAGAGCGAAACTCCGTCTCAAAAAATAAAATAAAATAAAATAAAATAAATAAATAAATAAATAAATTTGTGGAGCCCTCATACTGTTCGTAAAGCAAAATGCTGACTGCCGTAGAGGGATACACAGAGACTGAAAATGTGGGCTCTTAGGTTGAGCGCAGTGGCTCATGCCTGTAATCCCAGCACTTTGGGAGGCTGAGATCATCTGAGGTCAGGAGTTCGAGACCAGCCTGGCCAGCATGGTGAAACCTTGTCTTTACTAAACAACAACAAAAAAAAACAGCTCAGTGAGGGTAGCTATTGTCATTACTACTATTTTAATTATTTTTTAAAAAAATTTTCCCATGTTTTAAAATCCTCCATTCATGGCAAACTATTAGTTAATTCTTTTTTTTTTTTTTTTTTTAGATGGAGTCTTGGTCTATTGCCCAGGCTGGAGTGCAGTGGTGCAATCTCGGTTCACTGCAACCTCTGTCTCCCAGTTCAAGCAATTCTCCTGCTTCAGCCTCCCAAGTAGCTGGGATCACAGGCATGCACCACCACACCCAGCTAATTTTGGCATTTTTAGTAGAGACGGGTTTTGCCGTGTTGGCCAGGCTGGTCTGAAACTCCTGACCTCAGGCGATCCACCCGCCTCGGCCTCCCAAAGTGCTGGGATTACAGGTGTGAACCACTGCACCCGGCCGGCAAACTATCTGAATTCTGATCAGGATTCTGGGATAAGACAGCAAGATGAATGGTGTTGGATGCTTATAAAAGTATCCTTTTTTTTGGGGGGGGGGGTTCGGGTAAAAAAAGTACTGAACAGGGAGTCAAAAAATCCCAGATTGAAGGTCTTTTTTGTTCCCTAATGATCAATGAATCTTGAGCAAGCCACTTCTTTGCTTGCCTTGGTTTCTTCATCTTTAAAAAAATTATGATTTTTATTTATTTATTTTAGTTTATTTATTTTATTTTTTGAGACAGAATTTCGCTCTTGTTGCCCAGGCTGGAGTGCAATGGCATGATCTTGGCTCACCTCCCGGGTTCAAGTGATTCTCCTGCCTCAGCCTCCCGAGTAGCTGGGATTACAGGCATGCACCACCACGCCCAGCTAGTTTTGTATTTTTAGTAGAGACGGGGTTTCTCCATGTTGGTCAGGCTGGTCTCGAACTTCCGACCTCAGGTGATCCACCCATCTCGGCCTCCCAAAGTGCTGGGATTACAGGCATGAGCCACTGTGCCTAACCTATTTTTATTTTTATTTTTTGTAGAGACAGGGTCTTGCCATGTTGCTCCTCGCCTCAAGCAATTCTCCTTCCTCAGCCTCCCAAAGAGCTGGGATTACAGGATTACAGGCATGAGCCACCGTGCTCAGCCAGTTTCTTCAACTTTAAATGGAACGATGAAGCATGCCTGCCTGGCTTCTGGATTTGTGTGAAGATCAAATTGAATTAGGTCCGAAAGTGCCTTTTGCAGGTTGTAAAGAGCCATTCGGACATAAAGGCTCAGTTTGTCTTCACCATCTTCCCAGGAAGCATCTGCTGAATGGGGTGACCAGTAGGTCACCGGAATGAGTCACCGAGGTAACACACTAGCAGTGCCGAATGAACAGCGGCTGTCATATTGACCCACTAAAACACCAGGTGGACAGGGGATTATCATTGGAGGCCCAGAGTGCTTAGGTGACGTGCCCAGGGTCTCACTGTTACAGAGGGGGCTTAGGGTCTGGGATGGGCCCAGGACTTCCCAACTCCTGGCCCTGTCCTTGCTGCTCCCCGACCCTGCCCATTCCAAAGGTAAACTGAGCCAGTGGTCCTCCATCTCAGAGCAGGCCTGAGTGCGTGCTGACCCCAAGCCAGATGCAAGAGTTACCCTAAAATCTTCCTGCCCTAAGGGCTTTACAAGTTGGTTAGTCCTGGGATCTTTCCATGTAGCTATACGTAGCAAACCATGTCTCCCAAGGACGTCCTACCTGGAACGCCAATGGGCAGGA
Organism: Homo sapiens; assembly: GCF_000001405.40. NCBI lineage: Eukaryota > Metazoa > Chordata > Mammalia > Primates > Hominidae > Homo > Homo sapiens. The sequence goes on from NC_000022.11 coordinate 36,431,476, forward strand.
CAGAGAAAGTGGAGTCCTGAGTCTCACCCTTACCCACCGCATCAGCTCCGCAGCCTTGGGGTTTTTTGTTTGTTTGTTTTTGAGACGGGGTCTCACTCTGTCACCTAGGCTGGAGTGCAGTGGCATGATCATGGCTCACTGCAGCCTCAACCTCCCGGACTCAAGTGATCCTCCTGTCTCAGCCTCCTGAGTAGCAGGACCATAGGCATGTGCCACCATGCCCCGCTAATTTTTTCTATTTTTTGGTAGAGATGGGGGTCTCACTATGTTGCCCTGGCTGGCCCCAAACTTCTGGGCTCAAGTGATCCTCTTGCCTCAGCCTCCCAAAGTGCTGGTATTACCGACATGAGTCATCACCGATACCTGGCCCCTCGGGCCTTCTTATTTTTCTCAAGTATCTCATGTTCACTGCCCCTCACCCAGGCCTTTACTTCTCCTCCTCCCTCTCCAGAGGCAGTGTGCCTAGCACTTAAAAGCAGGGACTTCAGGCTGGGTGCAGTAGCCGTGCATCTAGTCCCAGCAACTCAGGAGGCTGACGCAGGAGGATTGCTTTAGGCCAGGAGTTGGAAACCAGCCTGGGCAACCTAGTGAGACTCATCTCTACAAAACAAAAAAGCAGGAACTCTGGAGTCCAAATACTGGTCCCTGCACTTATCTGCTGTGTGTCCTTGGACAAGTTACTTACCCTTTCTGGGCTCTGGCCCCTTCATCTGTGATATGGGGGTATCGTGGTAGCACAATCACAGCGCTGTGTGAGGAATAAATGGGAGTCCTCACATCCGGCCTGTAGCAGCGCCTGAGCCCCGGCGCACACCCCCCAGGCTCACTGTTTACTTCCCACAGCATAGATGTGGGCCCTCCTGGAGGCCATTTCTGATACCCTACATCCTACTTCTCCGCCCTGCATCCGATCCATAAACCCTCATGGAGTGCTCCCCGGTGCCAGGCTGGACTAGACATGATGCGGAGACTAGCAGGAACCAGACAGGGCCTCCTCTGGGAGCTCTGAGACAGGAGCTCAGAACCCTGTGCGGGAAGCCCCAGGAACTTGCTCTTGAACATTCTCGGGCTCCCCAAGGCCTCCTTCCCTGGGAGCTGAATGAATTGGCCTCACCTGCCAGTCCCCAGGTGACCCCCGGGAAGGAGCTGAGAGCCTGGGACGGGTGCTGGGTTCCTTCTTCATTTTGTTCCTCTGGGTCTGTCCCTGTGCTGAGAAGAATGGCCCCTGGCCCTCTTAACCCAGGAATGCTGAGCATTTCTTAACACCACTAAGGAGGAAGGGGCGGAAGCTTCCTCCCCCAAGCTCTAGAAGGATCCAAATTATTTGCTAAAACCACAGTCCAGGCGAGGTCTGGGCAGATGGGGTTCTCAGAAACCAGGCAGAGATTCTGGCTCCGATTACTCTGTGGGGAGCGGGAAGGGCAGCTGTCCCTAAAAAGGAAAATTAGCCACGCATGGGGGTGGATGGATGGAGGTGAGACCGGAAAAGAACTCTTCTCCGCAGGGCTGTGGGGCTGCCCTGGACATGCATGGGCAGCTGGTCCTCCCAGCCCAGGCCCCTTCTCATCCCACTCCCTACTCCAGGTCTCCACCAGGTCATCCTTTTCTCTCTTCCCAGGCCTTATTTGTCAAATGCCTCTTTCTAGGACCTCTGTTGGCTGGAGTCTGGTCTCAGATCATTCATTCCATAGCTATTTACTATGCGCCAGAAGCTGCACTCACTGGGGGTCCAGGCAGCTCAGGGACGGGGACAGTGTGCTTCATGCGGGCAGGAGCTATGTCGTGTCTTCCGTGGTGTCCCCAGGGCCTGGCTCAGCGTGGCCACAGGCTAGACACAGGAGCAGGACTTGGCAGGGTTGGCCCGGCTTTCCCAGCACCTCCAGGCCCACTCTTTGTCCTCACCTGCATCCCACGGCTCCTTCCTCTCCCCGTCCCTTCCCCAGCTCTGCTCCCCCAGCCCCCACTCCCCTGTTTGCTCAGCTGCCTGTGGGGGCCTGCACTCCACCTCCACTGGGCCCACAGCCAAGGTCAACAGGACCAGCCTCCTGGCCCTGGAGATGTGGGTGCAACACAGGCTCCAACTGAAGGGCACCAGACTCCCCGGACTATTCCTGGGCCGGCTCTCCCCTACCCACCTCCGCCACATTCTGAGTGGTCTCCCAAATACAGACCCAGGAGGCCAATCTCCTGGGCTCCTGTATCAGTCAGGGCTTAACCAGAGAAACAGAACCTGGAGGAAATATAGAGGCAGAGATAAAGATGGACAGATAGATTGCAAGGAATTGGCACATGTGATTGTGGGGCTGGCTGGGAAAGGCTGACAGGTGCAGGCAGGCCAGCGGGAGGGGCGGGCTGGGGCTCAGGCAGGGACTGAAGCCGCTGGCCGTAGGTGGAATTTCTTCCCATCTCCAGATTCCTAACTCCGTCACATCTGCAAAGTCCCTTTTGCCATGTAGGTTAACACATTTGCAGGTTTGCGGGATCAGGACATGGACATCTTTGGGTCATTATCTGGCTCACCGCAGCCCCAGAGGGCCTACTGCCCTTCCATTTGTTCATTCACTCATTTCTTTCTTCCTTCCTTCCTTCCTTCCTTCCTTCCTTCCTTCCTTCCTTCCTTTCTTTCTTTCTTTCTTTCTTTCTTTCTTCTTTCTTTCTTTTTCTCTTTTCTTTCTTTCGTTCTTTCTTTTTTCTTTCTTTCTTTCTTTCTTTCTTTCTTCTTTCTTTCTTTTTCTCTTTCTTTCTTTCTTTCATTCTTTTCTTTCCTTTCTTTCTTTTGAAATGGAGTCTCGCTCTATTGCCCAGGCTGGAGTGCAGTGGCGCGATCTCGGCTCACTGCAACCTCCGCCTACCGGGTTCAAGCGATTCTCCTGCCTCAGCCTCCCGAGCAGCTGGCGTTACAAACGTGAGCCACCACGCCTGGCTAGTTTTTGTATTTTTAGCAGAGACGGGATTTCACCATGTTGGCCAGGCTGGTTTCAAACTCCTGGCCTCAAGCGATCTGCCCTCCTCGACCTCCCAAAGTGCTGGGATTACGGGCGTGAGCCACCGCGCCCGGCCTCATTCACTCATTTCTTTTCCCAGGGTCCACCTACCCAGGCTAGGCCTGCTGTGCTGAGGACACCGAGGGAGGCAGACCGTGGCCCTGCCCACCATAATTAAGTGTTGGAGGCCACTGTCTAGGGGTAGAAGCAGCCACAGAAACATAGAGATACAGAGAAACAGGTGACTCAGTGAGGTCAGGGCACAGGACCTTTATGACATGTGGGGAGGGTGAGGTCTGAGAATGGAGGAGGGAAAGACCGGCTGTGTGGAGGGAAGGGGGTGCCTGTGGGGCCTCGCCCCTGGAGCCCTGGGACCCTCCTGCGCTAGGGGTGCAGAGTCCACAGCGAGGGACAGTGCACAGTTAGGCAGGCTCTATGCAGTCAGTTTTACTCCAACCCTTTGTTGGCAAGAGGGGAGGGAATCGGTTATATTAAAACAAACACAGACAGAGCAGGGAGTGCGAAGGCCACGTTCATAAGGTTCCTTCAGTAAACAACAAAGACCTGGAGAACTGTCGAGTGAGCCTCTAGTTCAGTTCCTTGACCCGCCTTTTCCCTCCCCACTTTCTCCTGTATCCCACCAGCTCCTCTTGCAATGAGGCACTGCTGTGGGTTTGAGAAGCGCTGAACGGCCCAGAGCTCAGCCTGGACTAGAAAGACTCAGGTGCGCCAGGCGTAGTGGCTCACGCCTGTAATCCCAGCACTTTAGGAGGCCGAGGCAGGCGGATCACCTAAGGTTGGGAGTTCAACACCAGGCTGACCAACATGGAGAAACCCTGTTTCTACTAAAAATACAAAATTAGCCGGGCGTGGTGGCACATGCCTGTAATCCCAGCTACTCAGGAGGCTGAGGCAGGAGAACTGCTTGAACGTGGGAGGGGGAGGTTGCAGTGAGCCGGGATCGCGCCATTGCACTCCAGCCTGGGCAACAAGAGCACAATTCCATCTCAGAAAAAAAAAGAAAAAAGAAAAAAAGGAAGGCTCAGGTGCTCCTTCATTCAACCACAGTCACAGAGATGCCCAGCCAGGTTCTTCCTGCCAACATGCACGTCTGAGGCAGGGACCTGGCCGAGGGCTGGCTGGTCAATAAAAGGCCCCTCCCTTCACGGCCTTCCCTGTCCCCACCTCCTAACCTCTGGTTTTCACCAGCTTCCTCTAGCTTCTTTTCAACACAGCTTTCACTGCTGGCGGCCTCTGTGTCTTTGATATCCCGCTAGGTGCCGGGCTCTCTGCTCAGCAGTGCGGATGCAAGAGGAAACCAGGGTGGCCCATCAAAGCAGCCCCTGGGTTTGAATCCTGGCCCCACCACTTAAAGCGGAGTGCGGGAAGTTTCCTTTCCTCGTCTGTCAAATTAGGGTATTTCCCCACCCTCACACCTGGCTTAAGGCACTCATCTTCAGCTCAGGAGGAATCCTGCTCACAGTTACAAAGGCTCAGTTACTCAACCTCCTGCTGCAATAGATCACACCCTCCACTTCAAGAACAGTCCCCAGAAAAGCAGCCACTGTGACTGCCGGGTTCACCACAGCGTCGCCAGTGTCTCTCACCGGGTCTGGCACGCGGCAGGGGCACAATAAATACCCCCCCTTCATTCCTTCAGCTTATGCATATTAATCATCAGACAAGTGCTAAGACTTAGGCATATCTTTTCTCATTTTCCAGCTGAGCAAAGTGAGACTCAGAGAGGTCAAGTGGCTTGCCCATAGTCACACAGCAAGTAAGTGACTAAGCTGATATTTAGAACTAGTTCTTCCACCAGACTTTTTCCACTTGACCCAAAGTGTCAAAGTGTAGAAATATGGAGGCAAGGAAAGGGTTGGTCTTTTGGGAAGATGACCAGAACAGCAGATGAGAAATGGGCTGGGGCAGGTTCCCTATGGGCATTGAAGGTCAAGTGGGGGATAGGAGGGCTTAGGCTGTCATCCTGTAGGCCACAGGACTGGAGGTTTGTTCCTGCTTTGGGCCCTTGTAAAACTAAAGTGGAGGCCGGGCATGGTGGCTCACGCCTGTAATCCCAGCACTCTGGGAGGCCGAGGTGGGCAGATCACCTGAGGTTGGGAGTTTGAGACCAGCCTGACCAACAAGGAGAAACCCCATCTCTACAGATACAAAATTAGCAGGGCGTGGTGGCACATGCCTGTAATCCCAGCTACTTGGGAGGCTGAGGCAGGAGAATTGCTTGAACCTGGGAGGCAGAGGTTGCGGTGAACCAAGATCATGTCATTGCACTCCAGCCTGGGCAACAAGAGCGAAACTCCGTCTCAAACAAACAAAAAATAAAGTGTCACAGGCAGACGGCTTATCACACTACTCAGTT